>NC_000012.12:30443943-30596638 GCF_000001405.40 Homo sapiens
ACAGCACACAGTGCCTGCCCTCAAGAAATTCAGGGTCTCCTGACTATCAGAGGGTTAACTTTCACTCAGAACATTTGACACGTTATAAAGTACTTTAAAATATTATTACATTCATTAATATTATTTTATCATTAAAAGTAATATCAAATTTACTGAGCCCTTAACTATATGCCAGACATACGCCAAGCAACTTATATTCATTATCTCAGTTGACACATACAGTGTGTGATGGTTTAGAGCATGGCTCCTGTAGTTAGATGAACTGGATTTGAATTTAAATCCACCTCAATCACTAGCTGTGATGACTTCAACATCTCAGTTAATACATCGGTATAAAATGCAGTTGATACTAACACCATCCCCACTGGAAAGCTGTAAGGGTTAAATGAGTAATTGTATAAAGTACTTAACATAGTTTTTGGTGGAGTAAGTGTTTAATAAATTTCAGTTATTCTAACTATCAGCACTCTGAGAAGGGACATTCCTGCATATAGGACTTTCTGTCTTTTGGTACAAATCTTGTGCTTTCCCAAAGATAGAAGAAAACAATAGGAGACGGGAGTAAAAAGTCCAGTTGGTAACTCTTCTGTAGGAGGAATTTGGTCTTCTTTATCACTAAAAGTTTGTTTCAAGTTAGTATGAAGGCAAATCCTGTCCTTAAATGCTCATCTATGAACACCATAGAAGTTTGATTTACCCTCACTGGAGGCTGGGTTAGTCCCCATTAATCTTAAGGGGCTGGTTTGGTCTCCTTTGTAAGAACAGCCCAGAATGAGCAAAACAAATGTGCTATTTATACTCCTCTATTAATACCTGTTATGGGATGAACAGTGTCCCTTCATAATTCATACGTTGAAGCCCTAGTCCCAGTAACTTCAGAAGGTGGCTGTATTTGGAGACAGAGTCTTTAAAGAGGTAATTACATTAAAATGAGACCATTAGGGTGGGCCCTAATCCACTGTGACTTGTGTTCTTACAAGAAGAGATTAGAGCTGGGCGCGGTGGCTCACACCTGTAATCCCAGCACTTTGGGAGGCCAAGGCCGGTGGATCACCTGAGGTCAGGAGTTCAAGACCAGCCGGGCCAACATGGTGAAACCCCATCTCTACTAAAAATACAAAAAAATAGCCGGACATGGTGGCAGTCACCTGTAATCCCAGTTAGTTGGGAGGCTGAGGCAGGAGAATTGCTTGAACCTGGGAGGCCCATGTGCAGTGAGCCGAGATCATGCCATTGCACTCCAGCCTAGGCAACAAGAGTGAAACTCCATCTCAAAAAAAAAAAAAAAGAGACTAGGACACTCAGAGAGGCACCAGCGATGTGTGTGCACAGAGAAAAGACCATGTGAAGAGGCAGCAAGAGGGTGGCCATCTGCAAGCCAAGGAGAGAGAGCTCAGAGTAAACCAACCCTACTGGTATCTTGGTTTTGAACTTCCAGCCTCTAGAATTGGGAGAAAATAAGTTTCTGTTGTTTAAGCCACCCAGTCTGTGGTATTTTGTTATGGCAGCTCTGCGCGGCAACCTGATACAATGTCTTACACCGAATAAGCCACTTATGGTCTATTCTCCCTCCATCCTAACCTCAAAAGCACCTAAAATACCACCTTCCTTTCAATTGCACATTGATATCTGGATAAAGGGAACGGGAATGGTTATATATGATCAGCCTCCAGCTTAGCACGGTGTAATTTTAGGGTCATAATTTCATCAGCAAACTATATGGGAATAATCTTTTATTCTGGTAAGAATTGTCAGTTTTTTGGGTGTTGTTTTTGACCAAGCAGGTATGTTTGTGGCTTAAATTGATTTATTACACATTTTTTGTCCTTAGTTTTATACAGCAGGAGACATAATTTCATGGGTCCTTTTTTCATGTTTTAGCCATATTTCAAATGGCTGAAATTTCCTCCAATTAAGAAGTTAAAATAGTGAATGAGAGATGTCAGCGTAAGTAATAGATTCTGGTCAGTCACTCACATGCCAGAATAAGATAATTTGCTCACTTTGGTACTAAAGAGAAAATCCTAAGCTAATAAGAAAACCTGAATGGACTGGAACGGGGCATGGGGGGTGGCAGATGGAGACAGAATTAGCAAAGAGGGGAATTATATATAGGACAGAACTTAGAATAACTGAGAATACAGACAGAAATTGGATAAATATTTGAGGAAAGAGAGGAAACACTAAAAATGGCTGTGAATTTAAGAAGATGCTCTTTATAGTATTCAGTCTCTAAGCTTATAGATACTCGAGACATGGGGAATTTGAAAAAGAGTGTGGCCCTCTCTTATTTTCTATTATGAGTAAAAATTTCAAATCATATTGGTCAGTATAAAATAAAAAATTTTAATTGAATAGAAACCACAATAAAAACAAGGTTCCAGCATTTATTTCTTGAGATATGACATGAGGGGTGTTATGTGAAATATGGGAGGTGGGGCCCATTCAGAGGCGCTGTCCGTGCTTGCTTGCAACCTCTGATGCTTCAGAGTCACTGGAGAAGAGAGATGGTTAATTGAGACCGGACCTAGTTTTTGCCGGTGTTATCATCAACAAGGAAGACATTTTCTGTTATCAGAAAATTAATTTGGCCAATGTAGTCCAAAAAACACTGAACTAGCTACTCACCTTGGAAAATCATTAAAGTTTGCCACATTACCAGTTTCTGATCTGTGAAATGAAAAGGTTGGCCTTCCTCTTTAAATGCTGATAGAAGAAACACTGTGGACTGTTGGTTTATGACAATTTTTACTGATCTGTGGCCAAATTAAATTTAAAAGAATATAATGTAATGCATTTTTTATAAAGCTAAATTTATACAATTTTTAACTTCAAAGATTATGCCTGTTCTGTTTTATTGTATGAGAATGTCCTTTCTCTTATGAAATGATAATAAAGGCAGATGGTTTATTTATTAATATCCTTATTTGAAATTAATTAACCTTAATTTCCTTATTTATTAATATCCTTATTTATTAATATCCTTATTTATTTATTAGTATCTGTATTTTAAAAATTAAGGGTATTGGTTAATAATTAGTAATTATTAATATATTTGACAACCTTGTCACAGTCCCCTCATGGTTTTTAAAAATCTAAAATTCTGATGCCTCTCAGTTACATAATTTCTAGTATTTCATCTACTTCTGAAGTTTAACTGTTTTGTGATTTAGAGTAATGTTATAGAGAATATGTTGAGGAGTTCCCTCTAAGCCATTTATTCAAAGGTTTTTATGTCTTGGGACATGACTTTCCACATCTGCTCAGTTTCAGCAGACAGACCCAGACGGGGAAGGCACGGCTCTTGAACATGATTCAGCCCCTGGGATGAGGCAGGAAAGGGAGGAAGTCCTTCTGTCATGGGACCAGCTCTGTGAACAGTCTGGCAGTGGCCCTAGGAAGTGGTCAGAAAGCACTGGTGTGGGACCTCCATGGGAGGTAATGAAACATCCTCATAAGCATCAGGAATAGGCGATGCTTAGAAGTTCACGTGGGTAATCAGCAACAAAAAATATGCATCAGGAGAAAATGGGGTCCTGTCCACTGAGAAGGGTGACATGAGCAATGCCAGACTTCCCTCTTCAGTGGGTGTAGTACAGGTGGCTTACCAAGAGAGGCTGCAGTCCAGGAGAGCAGGTTAGATGTTTGTCCGTCCACATGAAGTCATGAGGTGAGACTCAGGAACTGAGTAGAAGCTTCAGATCAAAACTGAAGTTCAAGGCTAGTCTCAGACTTCCAGCAAAGGTGACTAATACTGATTCTAGATTGTTGAGTTAGGCTAATTAAACGTCTCTATTCACAGATCTGGCAGATGATAGTTTTATTTAATATCCTTATTTGATAAAATTTAGAGTATGAATTTTAATTATTAGTATTCGTACTTGACAACCCTCTGAGAATCTCCTTAATGTTTTTTAGATATCTAAAATTCTGTCCATGTCCGTTGACGAATGAATAAACAAAATGTGGGGTGTACATACAATGCAATATTATTCACCCTTAAAAAAGAAGGAAATTCTGACACATTCTCCATGGATAAACCTTGAGAACATTATGCTAAATAAAAGAAGCAATCACCAAAAAAGACAACTACTGTATAGTTTCACTTACATGGGGTACCTAGAGGAGTCAAACTCATAGAAACAGAAAGTAGATTGGTGATTGTCAGGGGTTTGGGGGAGGGAAAACTAGGAAGTTATTATTTAGTGGGTAGAGAGTTTTAATTTTGCAAGATGAAAAAGAGTTGTGGAGATTGATTGCACAACAGTGTGACTGTACTTAACACTACTGAACTGTACAGTTAAAAATGGTTACAATGGTAAATTTTATGTTTATTTTACCACAATTCTTTGAAAGTATATACAAAAGTATATCAGCGAAAGCAGCCAGATACAAAAGCCAGATACAAAAAAGCAGCCAGATATTATATGAGTCCAGAAAAACAAATCTGTAGAGTCAGAAAGTCAATTAGGGGTTGCCGGAACTAGAGAATGGGAATGTGGAGTGGCTGCTAATAGGCATGAGGGATTTGGCGGGGGAGGAGGAGAAATATTCCAAAGCAGGACTGTGGTGGTGGTTACACAAGTCTATGATTTTACTGAGAGTAATTAAATTGTATACTTAAAACAGATGAATTTCATAGCATTTAAATTAAACCTAAGTAACTGTTTAAAAATAGTTATTTGGGAGGAAAAATTCTTAAAATTCTGGTGCCACAATGTAATATAATTTCTAAGATTTCACCTACCACTAAAGTTCAATTGTTTTGTGATTTGAAGTAGTATTATACAGATTATGTTGAACTGGACAAGGTTGAGCCGTCTAATTGGATGTAGGTAGCTTCAGATTTTGAGGGTCTAGATAACAGAAATCACGGAGTATCCAGGAATCAAGCACAGGCATGTTGGTTTGTTTAACATTCTCATAGAATAATACACTAGAGAAGCAGGAAAGCACAACTTGGGCTTCTCGAAGAACCATTCTAAAAACACTAGTGCATAAGTAAGCATGCAATTTTCACAGTTCTAAGATCAAGTGCACCTGAATATATATGTGATGGGTCCTCATCCTGAATGTATCTGTCATGCATTGCTGTCATGACCATCTTAAGCACAAAAAAAAAGTCTCTAGCTTCATAACAAGAATTATTTTCTAAGAATGGCAAGACGAAAAGAAAAACAATTTTAAATCAAGTATAGAATGTTGCTGCCAGTTAAGATATAGAGGGTCATAAAAGATTGCCAAACATACTCTAATAAAAACTAAAGACAAAAAACCAGATAAGCTACAACATCACAATTTTTTCAAATCAATCAGAGAGCTAAGGAAGCAAGGAAACCTGTGTGGCCTAAACTCTAGAAAGTGAAAAGCCCTTCATAAACAAGAAAAGGCTAATGGGTATTCTTGTCCTTAGTGCAATGGAGGGGGGAGAAAGAATATGACATAGATGAAGGGGGAGAAATCAGCTAAAATTTTAATAAATATTTAGCAGCTAATTTTGAACTGAAATTAACATTATAATTCCAAGGAGCCCAAGCCACAGAATAAATCTATATTCGCTCCCCATTTCTTTATTATGCATCTTTACCTGATACTTGGGACAGAACAGACAGCTGAGAAAAATCAATCCAAGATATTCTATGTGGGACAAGAGAGTTGCATAAGGCCCCCCCGACAAGCATTTACAGCAGAATGAGATCTCCCAAGGTACAAAAGCCTGGGCAAGTATGAATATCAGAGCAAACTTTCCAACTGTGTAGAGAGCTGACATCCAGACTCTAAACTAGACAGAGACTTCCTACAGTTTGGAAAGCTGGTTGTTTGGATGTAAAGCATGAGGATAATTCTGGGACTTCATGAGAGCTCACATCCAAAGTTTACAGGGAGAAAGTCTTGATCCTACTCTAAAAGCATTTGAACTCAGTGATAAACTGACCCAAACCAAAACTGCAAGAAAATTTAGGCTCAGATTAGCAGTATATCAGATTGACTGAACTCCTCAATTAGCAGCCTGATTCAAGAAGGATAATGATTTCTATGGAGGTAAATATTATTTACTTCAGTCTCTACCATTCTTTTATACAAAATGTCTAACATAAAAAATTATGGGACACACAAAGAAGCAAGAAATATGGCCTGTGGGCAAAAGAGAAAATAGTGAATAAATGCAGAATATTAGGTGATAATATTGTCAGATCAGGATTTTTAAACTACTATAATAGAAATATCAAAGAATATAGTAAAAAGGGAGTAAAATAAATGGGAAGAGATGGGTAATTTCAGCAGACATGGAAACTATAAAAAATAATCAAGCAGAAATAAAAATACAATATCAAAAAAGAATTCATCAGGTAGACTTTGCAACAGACTGGACTAAGTAGAGAGAATAATGAATAAATCTAAAGACAAATCTATAGAAAGTATCTGAACTGAAACAAAAGGTGAAAAAACTAGTGGAGAAAAAACAGCACCTGAGATCTTTGGGACAAAATCAAACAACCTAACATATGTATAATTGGAGTTTGAAAAAGAGATGACAGAGAGAAAGGGGAAGAAGTATTGGAAAGGTAATGACTGAGAATTTTCCAAAATGTATTAAAGATATCCCAAATAGCCAAGAAGTTCAGTGAACTACAAATGGTCCTATAACAGCTAGATATCCCTATAGAACAAAATGAACTTTGACCGTTTTCTCACTCTTTCTGCAAAACTAATTCAAGATATGTCATATAACTAAATGTAAAATCCAGAACCATAATGTTCTTTAAAAATATAGTGATATATCTCCTCTGCCATGAGGTAGACAAATATTTACTGGACAAGATAAAAAATGTGCTAGCCATAAAAAAAGAACATTTAAATTGGAACTTATCAACATTAAATTTTTCTCATCAAAAGACATCATGAAAAAAAAAATAGGTGCGCCACAAACTGGAAAAACATATTTAAGTGTATGTCTGACAAAGAACTTTTATCTATTGTATGTGATAACCATAGGTCACATTTGGCAAGCTTCCAAATTCATCCAGCTGGGGGAGGTCTTGTGATTCATGGCAGCATCCTGTCCCTAAGTAAGGAATCTTATCATGAGTTGCTGACATACTGATTTATGTATAAACTACTGGCATTGAAAAGGATGTTGGCTTGTTCCTGAATCATGAAATTTTACTGGTTTGTTTCTGAATCATGGCGTTTTACCAGTTGTCTTGCAGGCAGGCATTTTAGCCTGTATGTTGCAATCTGTAGCCAATGACTGTAACCTCTATATTGTACCCTTCAATGAAAAAGAACAACTCAGGTATGAGGAGTCCGCCTCCTTTCTCTTAAACTTTCTTATGAAAGTCATCCAACTTGTAACAGACCCTAGAACACTCCCAACTTCGGTGTGTCTTCCTGGGTCGATCCTTACATTTGGTTTCCAATAAACCTTTATCAAATTATTTCTTCCTCAACAACCTTGATTTCAGTGGACATATACAACTACAAACCAACAACAACCATAAGAAAAATGAACAATTTTAACAAATGAAAGATTTAAGTGGACAGTTCACAATAGAAATTATATGAATGCCCTATGGTTAAATGAAAAGTTTTCTATTAACAGAGAAATGGCAATTAAAACAAAGCCATTTCGTAACCACTAGAATGGCTAAAAGAAAAACTGACACCACCAAATATAGACAAGGACGTGGAGCAAGAAGAAGAGAAGAAGAAACATTAAGTAAAAATAACAACTTCTCCTCAATGTCTTCACCAGTAAAAAATATTTACATGCAAGGTGAAGAATGAGATGAGAAAATACATGGAAAGTGTTTTGGCACCTAGTGCATGCCCAGGACAGGTTTGCTTTTAGTAGCACCACCTTATGCATAAGTGGGAAGGGAAGAACTGGCATTGGTGCCAAATGGGTATGCACGACTTGCTCCTCTCCTATTGCAGAGCTTGCTCAAATGTCACCTTTTCCATGATGCCTTCTCAAACCATCCTACTTAAAACTGCAATGTCTGGCCAGGTGCGATGGCTCACGCCTGTAATCCCAGCACTTTGGGAGGTCAAGGCGGGTGGATCACCTGAGGTCAGGAGTTCGAGACCAGCCTGGCCAACATGGCGAAACCCCATCTCTACTAAAAATACAAAAATTAGCCAGGTGTGGTGGCACATGCCTGTAATCCCAGTTACTCAGGAGGCTGAGGCAGGAGAATCGCTTGTACCTGGGAGGTGGAGGTTGCAGTGAGCCGAGATTGCACCACTGCACTCCAAACTGGGTGACAGACCTAGACTCTGTCTCAAAACAAAGAAACAAACAAACAAACAAACAAAACTGCAATGTCCTCCCCATCTCAACATTCTCCTAGTTCCATCCTTGCTTTATTTTTCTCCAGAGCATTTTATCATCTGTGCTACACTGTATTTTCCTTATCGTTCATTTATGGCATCTTCTCTTCCAAATATTTTTATAAGTTTTATCAGTGTAGAGTGGGTTGAATGGTGCCCTCCCAAAAAAAGATATGTTCACCGAGAACCTGAGAATATGAACTGATTTGGAAAAGGGGTCTTTGCAGATATATTTAAGTATTTTAAGAAGAAGTCATCCTGGATTAGGGTGAGCCCTAAACCCAATGACAAATGTTCTTATAAGAGAAGAGAGGAGAAGACATGCAGAGGAGAAGGGTGATATAAAGACGGAGGTGGAGATTGGAGTCACACATCTACAAGCGAAGGAGCACCAAGGGTTGCTGGCAGCCTCCAGAAACCAGGAGAGAGAGAGGCACGGAATGAATTGTCCCTCAGCCTCCAGAAGAACCACCCTTGCTGACACCTTAATTTTGGACTTTTTGCCCTCTGAAACTGTGAAGGAATAAATTTCTGTTGTTTTAAGCCACCTAGTTTTTGTTGATTTGTTGTGAAGAACGTAACTGGAAACTATTATGGAGAGTAAGAATTTTTGTGTATTTTTGTTCTTTTATGTAACCTCAGTGCCTAGAAAGGAGCTGGGTTTGTGATAGGCTTTCAGTAACTATTTGTTGAATGAAAACCTGGCACCCAAAATGTCCCAGTATGGCCATGGAAGCACCTTGTCCACCCTAGCAGGTGTCAGCAAAATTTTTCTATTGAGGGCCAGATAGTAACTGTTTTCAACTTTGTGGGCCACATGGCTTCTGTCTCAACCATTCAACTCTGCCATTGTAGTGCCAAAGCAGCCATAAACAACACATAAATGAATGAGCATTACCATGTTCCATAAAATTTATTCCAAAAACCAGTGGTGTGCTAAGTCTGCTGACTTCTGGACACTGGCAGGCAACCTCTCAATCTCAAGAGCAGCTTCTTTCCTGCCAAGAGCTGTCCGGCAGCCATCTTAGCTGGGCACATTAGCATGATCTGTTGGACAAAAGCAAGCTGCTTTTAGAAAATCCTGATGCATTTAAGGTGGAACATGGGAATTCATTGAAGGAGGAAGGGTTTCTCAATTTTTAATTTTATATTAGAGACGTTTTGCTCTGGTGTGTGCAAGATTTACGCAAGGTATTTTTGACATTAATGGATGGTACAGGGTGGGATGCGGGCAAACTCCTTGGTCAAGCTATTATCACCCAGTGATAGGAGGGTACTGACTTCCTCTGACTTCAGGGTGCTGGACCAACTGGCTTATAGGACTCGATGCTTGGGATTGGAGGCTCTAACTCAGATTGACTTATCGGTTCCCCTAAAGCCAGAAACCTCAAATGCTTCTTTCTTTCCTTTCTACCTTGATATGAAAGCTCAGACAATTCAACAGATGAATAGAAGGAAAGTGGAAAGATGCATTTTTAAAGGATGCAGGTTTAGGAATGAGAATATTTACATCTTCTGTTTATCCACACCACTCTAGCTCAGTAGACTAGAGTTCTTTGACAGAAGGGTGCTTTGTTTTATTCACATTGCAAGTTTCGTATATTAATGGACACATAATAAAGAATGAATGACTGAATGAATAAATAATTGAATAAGTTATTTAGATAAATGCATATTTACATACACACCCATTATTTAGATAGATAGATGCATATTTACATATACACACACGTTCCCAAATATACAGAAAATATTTTTTATACAATATAGAATTTCTTTACCATAGCATGTCTCATCCTCAAAATATTCTATAATTATTTATAGTTTTCATCTTTGCAAAGAATCAGATTGTTGCTAAACTGTACACGGTAATATGTACAAAAATCACACTGATGTTCTTCTGAGCCAAGAAGCATCTCTATGGGTGCATACATAATATGAGGGTCTACATTCCATCCGCCAAGCCAAAGGCTTTTAGAGACATGATATTGATACACCAAAGTCCCTCTTAGATAACATGTGAACTCTCTGGGCCTGTCGGGAAAGCTGGGTCAGAATCAGCAAGAGAATCTAAGCAATAATGCTTGTCTGTATGAGCCCCAAGCTGTGCAGCTCAGGAGTGAGCCTGTGGGTGGATTTTCCTTCAGTATAAAGGTTTTGGCTGGCCATAGAGGGGATATCTTGGGAGCTAGAGACCAGTGCCCCTTGGTGACCAGAATCTCTCCCAGCACCAGCAAGGAAGCTCTCGGGGATGGTCTCCCCCAAAGCTGTGATGTGACCTGCTGCAGCATAGAGTCCAAATTTGGACACGTGATGCCAGTAGTGTTACACAAGGGCAGAGGCACACAGGAGCAAGAGTGAGCAGGTCCAGTAGAATCTGAGAACATACTGGTGGGGCTTGTTATAATGCCTGAGCTATTGAAATTCAGGGCAGTTAGAGGGCTGGAGACGAACCTTTTATGCTGCTCTGTGATCGTGAAGGACTAGCATACACGCTAGTGTAGCCCTTTAGAGAAATAACATGTAAATATTTCTCAAGAGAAGAAAGAGCACTTTTTCAAAGTTAGTTATACGGGATAGAATGCTCAGGCAGATTTCATTGCATGCCCAAAGTAATCCCGTTCCTTCCACCCTGTTTTCCAGCATGGGCTACTGCATCCTTTGTGTACACGGACTGAGCAAGCTCTTGCACTTGACTGAATTAAAGTGGGGCCCCACCCTGATTGTGTCCACTGTGTTGCTGCTGCTGCTTTTCTCTTGGAAAACTGAAACAGAATAAATTTGGCTGTCCAGAAAGTCCCTATATAGATATGATTAGACTTATAAAAGTAATTTTTTTTTTTTTAGACAGAGTCTTGCACTGGAGTGCAGTGGCATGATCTCAGCTCACTGTAACTCCTGCCTCCTGGGTTCAAGAGATTCTCCTGCCTCAGCCTCCCAAGCAGCTGGGATTACAGGCGACTGCCATCACGCCCAGCTAATTTTTCATATTTTTAGTACAGACGGGGTTTCACCATGTGGCCACTCCTGACCACGTGATTCACCTGCCTCGGCCTCCCAAAGTGCTGGGATTACAGGCGTGAGCCATGGTGCCCAGCCAAAAGTAAATCTCTTAATGTTCTCACCACAAAAAATACAAGTATGTCAGGTAATGGATATGTTAATTAGCTTGGTTTAATCATTTTACAATATATATATATATGTATACCAAAACATCACATTGTATCCCATAAATATATACAATTATTATTTGTCAGTTAAAAGTAAGTAATTATATAAATAAATAACAGTAAATAATAATACATTTTAAACATTATAATGAATTAATAAATCTTAATCCAAGAACTTAAAGAAAAATAAATCACCATTTATTTCTTTGCTTACATGTCTCTTTACACACTAGGTAATATGGAACTGGTAATATCTATTAATCAAGAAAATGTAGTTTAGTAGTGCTCTGAATGGAAGATATAATTTATTTAAGATCTTTAATTTTTTCAGATGATATGATATGAAATCCAACAACCTGCTTCTAAAGTGAATTTATGAAGAAAAGGCCAGTGGGAAGGTTTTTTGAGTCTGTGAATTCAAATGGAGACAGTATTAATGATGAGTGGGGCTGTAAAATCATCTATAAACAAAATAAAACCTATAAACCTAATTTCATTGTTCAGTCAAGCAATAGGCACAGGTGTTCCCACAGAAGGAAGAAAAAGAAATGCAGTACATTTTCTTTAGAATATTCCAAGATGTTAAGTTGGGCTCTGTTGCCTAGGTGCTAAATGAGGAAAGACTTTTTCATGTCCTGATGTTTTTTTATGTGGTAGAAGCTGTTTCTAAAATATAATAATGTTGATCTTTAACCACTTCATTTAGATATGTCTGACGTATAGAAATCTGTACATATTCATTGTATACATCTCAGTGAGTTTGGGGTTAGATGTACACCTATGAAACCATCACCACTGTCAAGGCCATAATCATATCCACCACTTCCCAAAGTCTCCTCCTGCCCCTTTTCTTGTTGGGTTTTGTGTGTGTGCGTACAGTAAGAACTCTTAACATAAGATCTACCAGCTTAGCAAATTTTAAGGATGCAATACAGTATTATTAGTTTTAGGCACTATGCATTAGAGTAGATCTCTCTCTCTCTCTCTCTCTCTCTTTCTCTCTCCTTCCTTTGAGATGGAGTCCCGCTCTGTCACTCAGGCTATACTACAGTGGTGCAATCTTGGCTCACTGCAACCTCCGCCTCCTGGGTTCAAACAATTCTCCTGCCTCAGCCTCCAGAGTAGCTGGGATTACAGGTGCCTGCCACCATGCCCAGCTAATTTGAGTATTTTTAGTAGAGACGGGGTTTCATCATGTTGGCCAGGCTGGTCTCGAACTCCTGACCTCAGATAATCCACCCGCCTCAGCCTCCCAAAGTGCTGGGATTAGAGGCGTGAGCCACCACGCCCGGCCCTTTGCCCCTTTCTTGAAAAATAGTTAGCTGTTTATGCCTGGGTTTATTTCTGGGTTCTCTAGTCTGACCCATTGGTCTATGTGTCTGCTTTTATGCGGGTACAATACTGTCTTGATTCCTGTAGGTTTGTAGTATAACTTAAAGTCAGGAAATATGACGCCCACGGATGATTCAGCTGTGCACATCCCTCAGTGTTCTGGGTGGAGTGAGACAGAAGTGGGCCTCCTGGGCAGGACCCCACAAGTTTGGGGAAGTCGAGTACTCACTTTCCCACTCGAGAGAAATCACAAGCTGAGGGGGTCTCTCAGCACCAAGCTGCGCCACCCTGAGGGAGGGTGACACAAGTAAAGTGAAACTGCTCTTCTTTTAAATGCATCCACTCTTGGATTTTTTTGGTCCAGTAGGGAGTCTCAGCTGGACTCCAGGGCTCCCACAGCAGTATTCTCGTCTATGGGTGGTTGCCAAAATTGGTATTTCTATTGGGAGGATGAGGGCTGGAGCCTCTTATTCTGCCATCTTGCTGACATCCCTCCCAGCCCTGTATGTGTAGTGGAGTATAAACATTCTCTGGGGCTCGCTACCATCACACTGTGTGTCTGGAGTTTCTGCCTCACCATTTCTCCAGCTCCAGGGATCTTCACCTGGCTCCTGCTTGTATCTCAACACCATTTTTAACTGCCCCAACTCCAATGAATTGCCAGTTTGTATCCTACTCCAGTTTTTATTCCTACGAAATCAGCTGTCTGTCCCCATTAAAACTGAGGTGGCCAATTCTATCAGCCCAGTTTCTCTTGCTTCCCTTCTGAGCAGATACCCAGTGGTTGGTCATTTTAGAAGTGTACCCATTATCTCATCCACTATCCCCTACCTCCCTCTCTTGATTTTCTTTGTTAATTTGCTAATCCCCAACACTGAACACACTCTTCTAATCTTTGTTCTTTTTCCTATTAAAAGGCCACAAGTTTTGCTGGCTAATGTCCTAAAAATAGACTACTCCTCAACAAATTTGTTCTCCTTATCCTCAGCTGTGTTGTAAAACTTGTTCCTCTCTAGCTGATGACTCATATGTCCCTGTCTTCTTCTGTTCATTTTATAGCTTTTCCTGATCCCCATGGCCTTACTCCATGGAAAACTTTGACGCCCCCTAGAGTTTAGTTGTAAGCATCAAATGAAATAAAATATCCGAGGTGCCTAAAGTCTGTGATGAGAGTTCATAGGTGCCATGTCTACTCTGCTAAGAAAGAGGCCATGTGGAATGAATGCCCTCAACTCGCTCTCTCTTTTGCAAGTTCTGTTTTCATCTGCATCCTCCTTCTTCCCTATGTCACAGAGAAAAAGTTGTGTCTATTGTGAAATATCTAAAATGATATTTAATAATGTTTGAAAAGGCAGCTTTTATCATTTATACAAATAAATGAAAAAATTAAATCACAAGTGAATATTTTGGATAATATAACTTTATCAGTAATTCCAGTCATAAGTGTCCCATTAGCTCATCCCAATCATTTCAATCTCTCAGTATCTCTCTCACCAGCTGCCACTGAATGGAGATTTTGATTCAAAAACTTCAGACAAGAAAAAGTTCTTAAAAACTGAACTTCTTAAAAATAATTTCAGCTTTTATTTTTGATTCAGGGGGTACATGTGCAGGTTTGTTGGGTATATTGTGTGATGCTGAGGTTTGGGGTAAGAACGATTCCATCACCCAAGTAGTGAGCATAGAACCCATAGTCCCCAGTGTCTACTCTTCCCATCTTTGTGTCCATGTGTACCAGTGTTTAGCTCCCACTTGTAAGTGAGAACATGCAGCATTTGAGTTTCTGTTCCTGCATTAATTCACTGAGGATAATGGCCTCAAGCTGCATCCACGTTGCTGCAAAAGACATTATTTTGTTCTTCTTCATGACTGTGTAGTATTCCATAGTTATATGTACCACATTTTATTTAATCCATCTCGATGGCAATTTAAGTTGATTCCATGTCTTTGCTATTGCGGTGAACATATGAGTGCATGTAAGACTGAACATTTCTATGCCAAACTGTTGTAGCCTGTCAGGGTTTACATAATCTCACAGAAACTTTTGTCTGTCTATACTACACTGGGTGTATATTAGCGGCAAGTAACAGAAACTGATTTTTCGATAACTTCAAGGAGAAGACGAATATATTGCAAAGGTGAGGGAGGCTCACAAAACTGAAGGGAACATTGAGGAAGCTGGCTTGTGGCAAATAAGAACTGGGTGATGTTATGGGCTGACTAATGTCCCCCAATATCTGTATGTTGAAGCCCTAATCCCCAATACCTCAGAATGTAACTATATTTGGAGATAGTCCTTTAAAGATGTTTTAAGTTAAAACAAGGCTGTTAGGACCAAATCCAATCTGGCCGCTATCCTTATAAGAAAAGGAAATTTGCACACACAGAGAGACAACACTTGTAGGTGAGTGGGTGGGCTCAGGGGAAACACCATGTGAGGACATAGCAAGAAGTCAGCCATCTGATAGCCAAGCAGGGAGGCCTCAGAGGAAACCAGCCCTGCCCACAACTTAATCTGGACTTCTAGTCTCCAGAACTGTGAAAAAAAAAATCCATTTCTGTTGTTTAAGCCACCAGCCTAGAGTGTTGTGTTATGGTTCTGTTATGGCAGCCCTAGCAATCTACAGGATGAGCTGACTACTACAGGAGGCTGGACAGTAAGCTCTAAACCACCGCTAAACAAATCGATCAACTCCCATTGCTTCTGTCTGTCCTCAATGGAAGTCCTGGAAGAGAGAATTCCATTAGCTGAGCTTGAATTTGGGTCACCTACCCTTGTCCCCACCAGGTTAGAGTCCATGATGAAGAGAGCAGAAGAAGTTTGAGGGACTCCCCAGGGAAAATCAGGTATGGCTAAGAAGGAAAAACCTATTCCAGTACCGCAAAAACAATGGCATATTCTCTATATTCTGCTTCTGATAAACTATTTTAAAGTAAATGTACCTGATTTTAAAACTTGACAATTTTACTTTTTCAGAAAATAAAAATTCACTTTGACATTAATGCCTTCCATTTCTTAATATGCTACATAGTACTAGGTAGGGAGCTTTGAAATTAACCTTTGCTTCTGAGTTTCATTCAGTTTCCATCATACCAGTCTACCTTAGCATCATGACCATAGACCACTTTGGACATGTTCTCTCTCACTACTCAGGGCCAGTCTTTCTGTAAAACAAATTTTAGCATCCAGAAATGTAACTTCCTTTTAGTCTTTTTTTTTTTTTCTTAAACGTTCTTTTCACTATTCCGCTATGAGAGTTTTTACAGAGAACTTTAAGAGATCTCTGCCCTATGTTAAGCTTTTGCCTGAAAAGCAACCATATCTTAATCTAAGCAAGCCTGGGGACTGGGCCTTTGGAAAGAAAGCAGAAGCTATGTCAAGGATAATGGGTTGAGGTTCAAATCCTAAACCTGATGCCAAGAATTCAAAGAAATCTTCTTGGTTTTGACCATGCATCTAGAAGGGTGTTGTTCTTTTTGAGAGTGTGTAGTAAGTCAAGATTTGATTATTAAAAGAAGATCCTTACACCTTTGTGATAAAAGAGATTTGTAGTCTTAGAGGCCAGTGGAGAGCACTTGAAAGAATTTTGTTAATATGCAAATAAAAAGTAATACTATTTAAAAAAAATGAATATCATCTTTAAAAAAAAGTCGGTGTCCTACAATAATATTTAAGAATCTAAGACTTTAAATATACACTTATTCCTTCAAAGCCAGATGTCTTCATAAATTTGACTATGCTGAGTAATGTTTGGATGAGTTTAATAAACATGCATTGCTATGTAAAGTGAAATATAAATGCTTTGGTTTATGTGGACTCTGGAGTCAAACCTCTTGAGCTCTTCTCCTAGGCTTACCACTTACTAGGTGTGTGACTTTAAGCAAGTTACTTAAACATTCTGACTTTCATTTCTTCATCTGTAAGTCAGATCGTATAAAGGTCAAATGAAACAAACATGTAAATTGCAGGAATGTGGTAAAGCAATGTAAGCTATTAGTGTCATTACTATGACCTAAGTGCCAAGATACAGGGGCCGTGAGACCTGAGCCCTGCACTAGAGGGACTGGCAGCACGAGACAGTCTTGGGCACCCTGCAGTCAACACGGGCTGTGCAGGCAGGGCACTAAGCTGGGCATTCAGAAATGCTTCTTTTTGGGTCCTGCACTAAGCCTCAAAGGATGAATAAATCCCAAATTAGCCATAATGGTCACAACCCAAGAGCTGGCTATACCGAGATATGTCAGTGATTTCTTTCACTTGCATGTTGAAGGCTTAATTGCCAATTTGAATACAATCTGCTTCAGAAAAGTAGCAGAAATGTCAACCATTTGAGTGAAGATGAAGTTTTGGCAGTGGCCCTGCTTCAGTGTCTCCTCTGTTCCAAACTATAAACCCACTCAACCATTCCTAGGATACATGGCTCTACCAAGGCCTCTCTAATTATGTGGAGTGGTTTTGCTTGGCAGTACTAGAAGAATTCTTACAGAATACCTTAGCATAATCCTTTGTCTTGGAGAAAATCCAAATTTTGGTTAAGTTCCAGCCTTTTCAAATGAGCTTCTTTGCACAAACAAGATCCCACTGTCTGATGTATTTTCAAGAGAGAGATGACTGGGTCCCCAACAGGTTCCAGTGGCAAGAGCTTTATTCACAAGAAGCATAAGCCCACTGTGTCCCATCAGGTTTCATAACACTGCTAATTAGGGCTTCCATTCATGGGGATGCTGTGCTCAATGGTTTACACATTTTAACTCCATCTTTATAATCCCATTTTACACATGAGGAATCAGAGGCTCAACAAGAGTAAGCCATCTGCACAAGCTGACATAACCAGTAAGAGAAGCCAGAATTTAAGCTCACATTTGATTTAAAAGTGAAAGAACACATAAACTTCTATTCTTATGTTTTCCAACCTAAATTAGACCAAGTATAAGCAAGGAGAAATATTCATAATCATGACCACACTGCAAAAAATGTTAATTCCTAATAACAAGAAACCATATGATGTACTAACTCAGGCTTGGTGATGGCTACGCATCTTCAGCTGGTGTCACAGCCCACACTACCTGGCACTTGTTTGGATTAAAACCATTACTGAAGTGACATAATTTGATTGATTTTTCCTCCAGAGTTTTAAGCATACCTAGAAAGACACAACATAAAATATATTTTCTTTTATATCTAGTCCATGGGCTCTCTAAGAGTTGTTTAGGAGAGTCCCTGGACTACAGGTTAAGAATCCATGGCCTCAATCAGAGGTAAAGACTAGCACTGAGGACGATATTCCCTGACACCTCGGATGCCCAGTTATCTATTCATTGGGAAAAAGTTGATGAGTTCCTGAGGGTGTTGACCACACTGCAATTTAAGGACAAAAAAAATTACACTTCAGACTACGGGGTGGCAAACTATAACCTTTGGGTCAAATCTAGTCCTCTACCTATTTTTGTAAGTGAAGTTTTATGGGAACACAGACATGCCTATTTGTTTGTGTATTTTCCATGGCTGCTTTCATGCTACAATGACAGAGTCAAGCAACAGAGATGGCCGTGGCCTGCAGAGCCAAATATCTTCACTATCTGGCTCTTTAAGTGTCCCTACCCCTGGCCTAGGTTATCTACTACCTCTGCAGGAAGTATGTTCCTCTTTGCTATTCTCCTCTGCATTCCTGATCCAGAGAAAGCAGCAGACCTCCTGCTGCACTGAATATAAACTTTGTGAGAGTAAAATCTTAGTGCTGCTGGTGTCCTGTGGTGCCTTTTGGATTCACATCACACAATGGCTCATCTTCAGGACTGACCTTGATGATGTGTAGGAGGTAGTTAAACATAATGGCTAAGACTTGAAGGTTTCTTCAGTTTCTTACTCGGCTGCTTTCCAGCTTTGTGACCTTTGAAAACATACTTAACCTTTCTGTGCTTCTGTTTCTTCATCTTTAAAATGGGGATGAGAACAAGACTACCCACCTGATAGAGTTATCGATAGAATTAAATGAGTGAATTCAAGGAAATGTTGTGTTTAGTCTGGAGCTTGATTCATAACAAGCATTCCCTAAGAACTAGCTCTTAAAAGTGTAGTCACAGTCAAACTAGGGGCCAAGTCAAAAGAGGTTTCAAAATTTAGAGAGAAATGAATTTTCTGTTTCTACTCCTCTCAGCTTCTGGCTGAACACTACTTTTTTAAAAAATTATGTTTGTTTCCTCATCTGAAATTTGAAGATGTCCTCTTGATCTTCTGCACAGTAATGTCAAAAGAGTAATTTAATATTTTTTAAATATGAAGGTACAATTGCCAGAACTTGTTTTTCTATCATTTTTCCAGTTCTATGACTACGTGATGTAAGAAAAGGGAATTAAGATTCTAACTTGAGGCCGGGCGTGGTGGCTCATGCCTGTAATCCCAGCACTTTGAAAGGCCAAGGTGGGCAGATCACGAGGTCAGGAGATCGAGACCATCCTGGCTAACACAGTGAAACCCCGTCTCTACTAAAAATACAAAAAATTAGCTGGGCGTGGTGGCAGGCGCCTGTAGTCCAGCTACTCAGGAGGCTGAGACAGGAAAATGGCGTGAACCCGAGAGGCGGAGCTTTCAATGAGCTGAGATGGCGCCACTGCCCTCCAGCCTGGATGACAGAGCCAGACTGCATCTCAATAAAAAATAAAGAATCTTTTTTAACTTGAAAGAAAGGTTTTTATTAGAATCTTGACTTGCTGTGATTATAATGGTTTTGGATCTACTGAAATAATTTATGACTGGGATGGTTAAATTTAGGTGTCAATTTCACTGAATTAAAGGCTTTACCAGGTAGTGGGGTATGTCTGTGAAGGTGTTTCAGAAGAGACTGGCATTTGAATTGGTGAACTGAGGAAGGAAGATCTGCGCTCACTATGGATGGATACCATTTAGTCAACTGAGGACCAGGATAGAACAAAAAGGCAGAGGAAAGGCCAATTTGCTCACTTTCTCTTCTAGAGCCAGGACAGCCTTTTTCTTCTGTCTGTGGACATCAGATCTTCAGGTCTTTGACCTCTGGGACTTGCCCCAACAGTCCACTGGGTTCCCAGGCTTTCAGCTTTGAACCGAGAGTTACACCATGGGTTTCCCTGGTTCTAAGGCCTGTGGACTTGGACTGAGACATGCTATGGGCCTTCCTGGGTCTCCAGCTTGCAGACAGCCTATCATGGACTTGACCACCTCCATAATCACATAAGCCAATTCCCCTAATAAATCCTCTCTCATCTATCTATCTATCTATCTATCTATCTACAGGGGTAATTCAGAGATATTGGTGGTTCAGTTCCAGGCTACTGCAATAAAACAAGTATCATCATAAAACAAGCCACACGATTTTTTTGGTTTGTCAGTGCATATAAAAGTTATGTTTACACTATACTGTAGTCTATTAATTGTGCAATGGCATTATGTCTAAAAAATAATTTACAGACCTTTTAAATTAAAATGAAAAAAAATTAACAATACTTTATTGCTAAAAAATGCTAATGATCATCTGAGGCTTCAGCAAGTTGTAATCTTCTTGCTGGTAGAGAGGGTCTTGCCTCGCTGTTGATGGCTGCAGACTAATCAGAGACGGTTGCTAAAAGTTGAGGTAGCTGTGGCAATTTCTTAAAATAAGACAAAAGTTTGCTGCATTGATGGATTCTCCCATTCACGAAATATTTTTCTGTAGCATGTGATGCAGTTTGATAGCATTTTACCCACAGTAGAACTTCTTTCAAAATTGAAGTCAATCCTCGCAAACCCCACCACTGCTTTACTACTAAGTTTATGGAATTTCTACATCATTTGTTGGCATTTTAACAATGTTCACAGCATCTTCACCAGAAGTAGATTTCATCTCAAGAAACCACTCTCTTTGCTCATCCATAATAAGCAAGTCCTCATCCATTCAAGTTTAAGTTTTATCATGAGATTGCAGCAATTCAGTCACATCTTCAGGCTCCACTTCTAGTTCTCTTTCTATTTCCACCACATCTCAGTTGACACTTTCTCCACTGAAGTCTTGAACCCCTCAAAGTCATCCAGGTGTATTAGAATCAACTTCTTCCAAACTGCTGTTCATGTTGGTATTTGGACCTCCTCCCATGAATCATGAATGTTCTTAATGGTATCTAGAATGGTGAATCCTTTCCAGAAGGTTTTCAATTTACTTTTCCAGATCTGTCAGAATAACCACTATCTAGAGCAGCTATAGCCTTACAAAATTTATTTCTTAAATAAGACTTGAAAGGCTAAATTGCTCCTTGATCCATGGGCTACAGAATGGATGCTGTGTTTGCAGGGATGAAAATAATATTAATCTTATCGTACATTTCCGTCAGAGCTGTTGGATGACCAGGTATATTGTCAATGAGCAGTAATATAGATAGATAGATAGATAGATAGATAGATAGATAGATAGATAGATAGATATAGATATAGGTAGATACAGATATAGATAGATATAGATATAGATAGATATAGATATAGATAGATATAGATATAGATAGATAGATATAGATATATCTATATATATACTTTTTTTTTTTTGAGATGGAGTCTCACTCTGTCCCCCCAGGCTGGAGTGCAGTGGCACAATTTCGACTCACTACAAGCTCCACCTCCTGGGTTCACACCATTCTCCTGCCTCAGCCTCCTGAGTAGCTGGGACTACAGGCACCCACCACCACACCTGGCTAATTTTTTGTATTTTCAATAGAGAGAGGGTTTCACCGTGTTAGCCAGGATGGTCTCGATCTCCTGACCTTGTGATCCGCCCACCTAAGCCTCCCAAAGTGCTGGGATTACAGGTGTGAACCACTGTGCCCGGCCAATGAGCAGTAATATTTTGAAAGGAATTTTTTTCTGAGAAGTAGGTCTCAATGGTCAGGTTCAAATATCAAGTAAACCATGCTGTAAACAGATACGTTGTATCCAGGCTTTGTTGTTCCACTTACAGAGCATAAGCAGATCATATTTAGCATAATTCTTAAGGGGCCTAGGATTATCAAAGTGGTAAACAAGCATTGGTTTCACCTTAAAGTTATCAGCCATATTAGCCACTAACAAGAGAGTCAGCTTGTGCTTCGAAGCTTTGAAACCAGGCATTGACTTCTCCTATCTAGCTATGAAAGTCCTAGATGGCATATCCTTATAATAGAAGCCTGTTTTGTCTACATTGAAAATCTATTGTTCAGTGTAGCCACCTTCAACAATTATCTTAGCTAGATCTTCCGGATAACCTGCTGCAGCATCTCCATCACCACTTGCTGCTTCACCTCTTTTATGTTATGAAGATGGCTTTTTCCCTTAAGCTTCATGAATCAACCTCTGCCAGCTTCAACCTTTTCTTCTGCAGCTTCCTCACCTCTCTCAGGCTTCACAGAATTGAAGACAGTTAAGGCCTTGTTTTGGATTAGGCTTTGGCTTAAGGAAGTGTTGTGGCTGGTTTGGTCTTCCATTCAGACCAATAAAACTTTCTCCATAGCAGCAATAAGGCTGTTTGTCTTTCTTATCATTCATGTAATTCACTGCAGTAGCACTTTTAATTTCCTTCAAGAATTTTTTCTTTTCATTCACAACTTGGCTAACTGTTTGGCACAAATGGCCTCGCTTTAAGCCAATCTCTTGGCCTATCTCAGCTTTCCACATGCCTTCCTCACTAAGCGTAATCGTTTTTAGCTTTTGATTTAAAGTGGGAGATGTGCGACTTTTCCTTTCATTTGAACACTGAGAGGCCATTGTAGGGTTATTAGCTGATCTAATTTCAATACCACTGTGTCTCCAGAAATAGGGAGGCCTGAGGAGAGAGAGGTGAAGGGACAGCTGGTTAGTGGAGCAGCCAGAAAACACAACGATTATAGTTTAAGTTCGTTTATAGATCACAGATCACTATAACAGATATGATAGTAATAAAAACATCTGAAATATTGTGAGAATTACCAAAATGTGATGAAAAGACATAAAGTGAGCATATGCTGTTTGAAAAATGGTGCCAATAGACTTGTTCAACACAGGGGTACCACAAACCTTCAATTTGTGAAAAAAAAAAAAAACAATATCTGCAAAGGACAATAAAAGAAAGTATCCTTATAATAGATATATAAACATGAATATCCTATTGGGTCCATTTCTCTGAAGAACCCTAATTCAATGATTTTTACATTTCCTTATGGAAAAAATATGTCAACACTTGCATACTTCAATTAAAACGCTTAAATGTACGAACCCAGGACATTAAGAAAGTAAACACAGAAGCCTGACTCTGGAGAGAGGAATAACATTGGAAGCTACAGATACATGGAATGTTTTGCACTTATCCCATTTGTATTTTTTTTTCTGAAACTTGCTCATTGTAAAATGAAAGATGGGAAAAGGACAGTGGGAAATGTTACAGTGGAGCTTACGGCGGAAAGCAGTGTGTCTTTGGGCTTTTAGTTACCCACTTCTGCTTCATTAATACAAATATGATACGTCCTCTTGCCATCACAGAGCAGTGCTCTGATCTTTTCACATTTCCACAGGACCATTTTGCATATTTCTCATTTGAAAAATAAATTAGAGCAACTATGCTAACCGAATGAGAACTAAAAGATCAATTCCAATAAAAAGGCATTCATATCAGCACAGTAATAGAAATGCTTTTAAATGCATTAGGAAGCTGGTGATCTTCTAACCTGTATTGTCTTTGTAACCTAATCTTACTCAGCATTCTACATTTAAATGGAATTTTTAAATAGAAATCAGAAATTTAAACCATTTCTACCATCTTGCACCTGCTCCTGTGATTAAATTCTTAATTCATTCGAGGAAGCATATTAAATTATATTACCAATGCTACTTCACTTGTGTACATGGAAAATCAATGAAGCAGCCATTTTTAAGTTTCGGCTCTGCTGCTTTCAGGTGCTCTGTTTTCTTTGGGTGGGTCTCTTACTTCCCACACTCCCTTTCAGTTTTCACTTATTTGAAATTTCATCAAGCTCCTAGTTAGTGTATTTTAACTGGCACATCCTTAGCTGAGTCCTAAGGTTCAAACGATCCTTTATATGCAAAAATGTAACCAAATTTCAATGAAAGTGCATATTGTCCAAATATATTTTCCAAACAGGCTCCAACACATTGTACAACGTTTCTCTGCTGATATTACCTTTAAATTAGACATTGTACTTGTTTTCTAGGGCTACAGTAACAAATTGCCCTACACAAGGTGGCTAAAAATAATACAGAACAACAATGATTTTTTTTCTCACACAGTTCTGGAGGCCAGAAGTCTAAAATCAAGTGTTTTGGGGGTTGATTCTTTCTGGAGGCTCTGAGGGAGAACCTGTTCAATGCCCTTTTTTCAGAGGACTTATAAAAGCACAATTTAATTATATAAGATGTAAAATGTGGTAAAAGATGTTTTAATAAAATATTTGCAACACATATAAGAATTGATAGCTCTAATGTACAAAGATTGCCTACAAATTGATTAGAAAAAGACATTTTAAAAAGGGGGAAAGAAAATGACAATTCATCAAAGAGGAAATACAAATGGGCATATTGTATGAAAACACAAGCAACCTTACTTTTAACTGTTGTCAGGGAAATGTAATATGAAAATGATGAGATATAATTATGTAACACATTAGATTGGCAACATATAAAAGAGACTGATACTTTCCAGTGCTTGTAAGGGTGTAGGGGAATCGACTTTTATATGCAAGCCAAGCAGAAATGTAAGTTGCTAAAACATTTTTGGAACATTATCTGAAAAAAATCTTTTTTTTTTTCAAATTTCTGGGTTTTTATTAGAGTATTTTTAAAATGTGTACCAACTTATGGGGTACATGAGAAAATGTGTAATGTGCATATATTGTGCATTGATCAAGTCAGAGTATTCAGGGTGCTCATAATCAGAGTACAATACATTTTTAGTTGAAAACAGTTATCCTATTCTGTTATCTAATACTTCATTTATTCCTTTTAACTTACTATATGCTTGTGCCCTTGAACCCACTTCTCTTCCTCCCACCTCCTGCCTGCTTATCCTTCCAGGTCTCCCTTACTTATTTTTCGACTCTCAACCTCCATGTGTTCTAATTCTTTATCTCCCGCATACGAGTGAGAATATGCAACATTTGTCTTTTTGTGCCAGGCTTATTTCACTCAAGGTAATGACTTCCAGTTCCATCCATGTTGCTGCAAATGACATGATTTCATTATTTTTTGGGGCTGAGTAGTATTCCAGGATACCACATTTTCCTTATCCATTCATCCATTGATGGACACTTAGGTTGAGTCCATATCTTAGCTACTGTAAATAGTGCTGCGGTAAACATATGAGTGCAGATATTCCTTTGTATATTGATTTATTTTCCTTTGGGTAGATACCCAGTAGTGAAATGCTGAATCAAATGGTAATTCTATGTTTAGTTTTTTGAGGAATCTCCATGTTGTTTTCCATGGTGGTTCTACTAGTTTACATTCACACCAGCAGTATAAGAGTTCCTTTTTCTCTGCATCCTCGCCAACATCTGTTATTTTTGTCTTTTTGATAACAGCCATTCTGACTGGGGTAAGATGATATCTCATTGTGGTTTTGATTTACACTTCTCTGATTAGTGATGTTGAGCATTTTTTCATATACTGTTCACCATTTATATGTCTTCTTCTGAGAAATGACTATTCATGACATTTGCTCACCTTTTAACGGGATTATTTGGGGTTTTTTTCCCTTTGAGTTCCTTGTATATTCTGGATATCAATCCAATGTATGATGAATACTTTGAAAATGTTTTCACCCATTCAACAGATTGTCTCTTCATTCTGCTGATTACTTATTTTGCTGTGCAGAAGCTTTTTAGTTTAGTGAAGTCCAATATGTCTAATTTTGTTTTTGTTGCTTTTGCTTTTAAGATCTTAGTCATACATTATTTGCCTAGACTACTATCCAGGAGACTTTCCCCTAGGTTGTTGTCTAGCATTTTTATAGTTCCAGGCCTTACATTTAAGTCTTTAATCCATTTGGAGTTTATTTTTGTATGTGGTGAGAGGTAGGGGTCCAGTTTCATTCTTCTGCAGGTGGCTATCCAATTTTCTCAGCACAATTTATTGAAGAGGGTGTCCTTTCCCCAATGTAAGTTCTTGTCAGCTTTGTCAAAGATCAGTTGGCTGTATTCATATGGCTTTATTGTTTGGTTCTCTATTTTGTTCTATTGGTCTGAGTATCTACTTTTATATTGATACCATGCTGCTTTGGTTATTAGAGCCTTGCTATATATTTTGAAGTCAGGTAATATGATGCCTCCAGCTTTATTCCTTTTGCTTGGGATTGCTTTGGTACTTGGGCTCTTTTTCAGTTCCATATGAATTTTAGGATTTTATTTTTCTAATGCTGTGAAGAATGGTGTTGATGTTTTCACAGGGATTATATTGAATCTGTAGATTGTTTTGGAAAGCATGATCATTTTAATAACATTTTTTCTTCTGATCTATGAGCATAGGATGTTTTTCCACTTGTTTTGTCATCTTCAATTTATTTCCATTCTTTTGCAGCTTTCTTTGTAGAAATATTTCACCTCTTTGGTTAAATTTATTCCTACATATTTTTTAGGTGTTTTAAATGGGATTGCCTTCTTGAATTTGTTGCAGCTTTTTTGCTCCCACAGATCAGTGAGTGGGAGGGAGTGGCACCCAGGGGCTTTTTCTCTCCCATTGTTAGGCAAGTGGGAGGGAGGGTTACAGTTCTTTTACTCCCACCACCCACAGCTCGGCAAGCAGGAGTGTTACAGATCTTTTGCCCCTGCAGTTCAGCGAGTTCTGGGTTCTTGTCCCATGACCAGGAGGAATAAGGTGCAGGGACACTGGAGAGTGAGTAAGGCAGAGTCGAATTTTATTGAGTGACAGAAAAAAAGCTCTCAGCTGTGAGAGGGGACCCAAAAGTGGGTAGCCATCTGTGAGGCTGAATCCAGGGTTTTTATGGGCTTAAATGGGGGAATGCTTGCTGATTGGTCCATGGCGGTCTTGGAAAAAACATCATTTGATTGGTTAAAGGGCATTATTCAGAAGGAACCAATCAAGAGACAGTCCCTGTATGCCTACAAATTTGTCTATCTTTTGTTGCTATCAATTTCTTTCTCAGTTAGATTGTTATTGGTGTGTATGAAATACATTACTAATTTTTGCACATTGATTTTGTAACCTGTAACTTTACTGAACTGATTATCAAATCTAAGAGTTTTTTGGTGACGTCTAGGTTTTTCTAGATATACGATCATATCATCAGCAGGCAAGGCTAATTTCAATTCCTCTTTTCTTTGTTTTTTTTTTTTTTTTTTTTTTTTTTTTGAGATGGAGTCTCGCTCTATCACCCAGGCTGGAGTGCAGTGGCGCGATCTCGGCTCACT
Source organism: Homo sapiens (assembly GCF_000001405.40). Classification (NCBI taxonomy): domain Eukaryota; kingdom Metazoa; phylum Chordata; class Mammalia; order Primates; family Hominidae; genus Homo; species Homo sapiens. The sequence continues at coordinate 30,471,168 of NC_000012.12, forward strand.
GCAAGCTCCGCCTCCCAGATTCACGCCATTCTCCTGCCTCAGCCTCCCGAGTAGCTGGGACTACAGGCACCTGCCACTGCACCCGGCTAATTTTTTGTATTTTTAGTAGAGACAGGGTTTCACCGTGTTAGCCAGGAAGGTCTCCATCTCCTGACCTCATGATCCGCCCGCCTTGGCCTCCTAAAGTGCTAGGATTACAAGTGTGAGCTACCGCGCCCGGCCTAATTCCTCTTTTCTAAATGGATGTCTTTTATTTCTTTTTCTTCCCTCATTTCTCTGGTTAAGACTTCCAGAAGTGTGACTTGCCAGAAGTGAGACTGTCATCAGTAACTTCTTCCTCTAGCAACTCCCAGCACCTTCACTTGGCCTTTTCCTCTAATCTAATCCAGGCAGTTTTCTTCCAAACAGACTCAGTCCATCTATTATTTTTTTCTGTTGTCAATTCCTTAAAGTGAGGGAGCAGGAACTAAGCCAACGTACTTGGGTTAAAATCTTAGCTCTGCCACTTACCAGCTGTGTGACCTTGAGAAAGATACTCAACCTCTCTGTTCATCGGTTTTCCATCCATAATTTTAGGATGATAGGGTTACAAGGATTTAAGAAATTAATACAGGTAAAGTGCTTTGGACAGCATCTGGCACATAAGTAGGCATTCATGAACGTTAGCTGCTATTCTTATTCTCTTGTAAAGTCAAAGAACTACAATCTCTTTAAATAAACAAACTAGTCCTAATTATTGTTATTTTAAAGTCACTTTATTACCAACTTTGAAGTCCAAACAAGTTTAATAAAAATTAACATAAGGATTGACATGACCCTTTTGGGGAAAAAAATCAACAAAATGTTTTTATAGAATTTAAAAACTGCCTACAATATTAACTGACTACTAACAATAAAATCATAAGTCCCCCAACTGACTGAATGGATTCCCTCCGGACCAAAGGTACTCCAGAGAAACCTTAAAACCTGAATTCCCAGCCATAACAGGATAGAAGGTCAGATATGCCTCATTATATCCCTCCCTTTAGCAGTGTAGGCACAACACCTGACCATCATTAATGTTAAAATAGAAATCATAAGACTGATGGAAAAGATTCTTTTTGGCAATAAGACACCAAATTATATACAGGATCTAAGGCCATGCCAGTTAAGAGTGAAGTCATGCAACCCTACACATAAAGAATAAACTATGCTTTAATGGCCACTAGGTTTTTCTTTTTTCCTAGTAGCTAAATAAGCATTGGCCTCAAGATGAGGAATATTAAGACAATTGCAGCTCATCCATTGCCGAAGTTTGACTAACTGACCCCCACCCTGTTCCATGAGCCATGACTACATCTTTGATCAGACAAGAGACTGATTTCAGTAACTTTCTCCTGATAAGAGACTACCAACCATGAACTGGTTCTGGGCAGTTTACAGAGGCCACACACGCTGAGTGTCTTTGTGTCCCTGCTTCACCTTTTTATGTATACAGTCTAACTGTAATAAATTTAAATGTTAAGTCTCCACCCCAAAGTGAACATAAGACATATGTAACCTACAGGTTTGTTTAGTACACATGCATTAGGACCCCCGTCATGAATACTTATAGCTCCTCCTGTAACCTGTTGAATATGTACACTTAGCCAACTGTTTCCTGTCTCCTCCTTTCCTCCTTGGAAGTGCCTGCTATGTCTCTGCTGGAGGCTGTGCTGTGTAAGGATAGCCACCCTGCAAGTTGCAACCTTTTATAAAAAACAAAGCTCTTCTTTTCTAAATTTATAAGTTGTGTGATTTTTTCAGTTGACATAGCAAAGCCAATGTCAAATGCCTTGTGTTGTAGCTTAAGAACTACAAAGTGAACCAACAATTTAAACTTCCACTTGTTGAGGCGCAAAAAAAGAGGAAATTTAGAAAATGGAAAATTTGTTTTCTTATTAAAGTATTATACATCTGGTTATTAAATAATGCTGTTGATCTTTCTATTGTGTTTTTCATATCTGAAAATCAAAGTAAGGAGCATTCTATCAATGTCATAAAAGGTAGAAATAAATAAGAATATCAATTAGTTGACAGTACTCTTCATCAAAAATAGTCCATATTTTTGTGAAAATCAAGGACTTTGAATGAAAGATGCAGTAAGATTCTTCTATTCTGAAGAAATTCCACTAAATAGAAAATTGAAAAGAAGGAGGAAGGGAGAGAAGGAAGCAAGGGAAGGAGAGAAGGAAGGAAGGGAAGAAAGGAGTGAGGAAGGCAATCGACTGACCATGCAGAGTTGTTGCCAAGGAATCGTCTATCACCAAGTCATATCACTTTGCTTCATGAATATTATGAATATTCCTGAATCCCTCCTCTTCTTTCTATACCCACTGCTGTTGTTCTGGATCTCAGTGTTGCACCTCTCTCTCTCTTTCTCTCTCACTCTCCTTTCTTACTGCAACAACTTTCAGAGAAATCTTCTAAAATATTAAACTATTGGTCTCACTTCTCTATTTAAAGCACCCCACTGACTCACCCCTGCTTGTTAAACAGTGTGGCTCACAAGACTTATTTCAGGAACAAAGAAACATTGGATTTAATCTGCTCTATAGACCAAATGGACCTAACAGATATTTATGGAACATTTCATCTAATGGCTGCAGAATACACATTCTTCTCCTCAGAACATGGATCATTCTCAAGGATAGACCATATTTTAGGTCAGAAAATATGTCTTTAACATTCAAAAAAATTGAAATAAAATGAAGCATCTTCTCTGACCACAAATGGAATTAGAAACAAGAGGGATCTTGGAAACTATATAAATACATGGGAATTAAACAATATGCTTCTGAATGACCAGTGGATCAATAAGAAATTAAAAAGGAAATTGAAATTTTTCTTGAAACAAATGATAATGGAAACACAACACATCAAAACCTATGCGATACAGCAAAAGCAGTATTAAAAGGGAAGCTTATAAGTGCTTACATCAAAAAGAAGAAAAATTTCAAATAAACAGCCTAATGATGAATCTTAAAGAACTAGAAAAACAAGAGCAAACCAAAACCAAAATTAGTAGAAGAAAATAAATAATAAAGAGCAAAGCAGAAATAAACAAAATTGAAATGAAGAAAACAACGTAAGAGATCAATGAAACAAAAAGTTGGCTTTTTGAAAAGATAAATAAAATTGACAAATCTTTACCCAGACTGAGGAAAAAAAAAAAGAGAAAAAGAAGACATTAAAACTGACACTGCAGGCCAGACATGGTGGCTCACGACTGTAATTCCAGCACTTTGGGAGGTCAAGACGGGTGGATCACGAGGTCAGGAATCCGAGACCAGCCTGACCAACATGGTGAAACCCCGTCTCTACTAAAAAAATACAAAAATTAGCCAGGCATGGTGGTGCGTGCCTGTAATCCCAGATACTCAGGAGGCTGAGGCAGGAAAATTGCTTGAACCTGGGAGATGGAAGTTGCAGTGAGCCGAGATTGCGCCACTGCACTCTAGCCTGGGCGACAGGGCAAGACTCTGTCTCAAAAAAAAAAACACACGCAGAAATTCAAATGATCATTAGTGGCTATTATGAGCAATTACATGCCAATAAATTGGAACATCTAGAAGAAATTGATAAATTCATAGACACATACAACCCACCAAGATTGAACATGAAGAAATCCAAAACCTGAACAGACCAGTAACAAGTAACGAGATCGAAGTTGTAATAAAAAGTCTTCCAGTAAAGAAAAGCCCAGGACCCAATAGCTTCACTACTGAATTCTACCAAACATTTAAAGAAGAGCTAATACCAATACTCCTCAAAGTATTGTGACAAATAGAGAAAAAAACATTTTCAAACTCATTCTGTGAGGCCAGTATTACCCTAATACCAAAACCAAAGACACATCAAAAGAAGAAAACTTCAGGCCAATATCCCTGATGAATATTGATGCAAAAATCCTCAACAAAATATTAGCAAACTGAATTCAACAATGCATTAAAAAAATCACTCATCATGACCAAATGGGATTTATGGGATGGAAGAATGGTTCAACACATGCAAATCAATCAATGTGATATATCATATCAACAGAATGAAGGATAAAAACCAAAACCATACAATCATTTCAATTGATGCTGAAAAAGCATTTGATAAAATTCAACATCTCTTCGTGATAAACAAACTGAGCATAGAAGGAACATACCTCAACATAATAAAAGTCATATATGACAGACCCACACTAGTATCATACTCAATGGGGAAAAACTGAAAGCCTTTCCTCTAAGATCTGGAATAAGGATGCCCACTGTCACCACTGTTATTCATTATAGTACTGGAAGTCCTAACTAGAGTAACCAGACAAGAGAAAGTTATAAAAGCCATCAAAATAGGAAAGGAAGAAGTCAAATTACCCTTGTTTGCAGATGACGTGATCTTATATTTGGAAAACCTAAAGAATTAGAACTGATAAACAAATTTTAGTAAAGTTGCAGGATACAAAATCAACATACAAAAATTGGTAGCATTCTACATGCCAACAGTGAACAAACTGCAAAAGAAATTTAAAAAGTAGTCCCATTTACAATAGCCAGAAATAAAATCAAGTACCTAGAAATTAAGAATCGAAAAATCTCTATAATGTAAACTATAAAACACTGATGCAAGAAATTGAAGAGAACACAAAAAATAGTAAAACACTCCATGTTCCTGGATTGGAAGAATCGATATTGTTAAAATGTCCATACTACCGAAAGCAATCTACAGGCCCAATGCAATCACTATCAAAATACCAGTGACATTCATTACACAAATAGAAAAAAAATCCTAAAATGTATATGAAATCACAAACGACCCAGAATAGCCAAAGCTATTCTAAGCAAAAAGAACAAAAGTAAAGGAATCACATGACCTTACTTCAAATTATTCTACAGAGCTACAGTAAGCAAAACAGGATGGTACTGGCATGGAAACAGATATATAGACCAATGGAAAGAATAGAGAACTCAGAAACAAATCCACACACCTAGAGTGAACTCATTTTTGGCAAAGGTGCCAAGAACATACACTGGGGAAAAGACGGTTTTTCAATAAATAGTGCTGGAAAACTGGATATCCATATGCAGAACAATGAAGCTAGACTCATCTTTTGCCATATATAAAAGTCAAGTCAAAATGGATTAAAGACTTAAATATAAGACCTCAAACTATGAAACTGCTACAAGAAAACATTGGGGAAACATTTCCAAGACATTGGTCTGGGCAAAGATTTATTAATACTCCACAAGCACAGACGACCAAAGCAAAAATGGACAAATGGGATCATATCAAGTTAAAAAGCTTCTGCATAGCAAAGGAAAAAATCAACAAAGTGAAGAGACAACTCACAGAATGGGAGAAAACATCTGCAAGATACTCATCTCACAAGGGATTAATAATGACCAGAATATATAAGGAGCTCAAACAACTCTCTAGGAAAACGTTTAGTTACCTGATTTAAAAATGGACAAAATATTTGAATAAATATTTCTCAGTGGCAAACAGGCATATGAAAAGGTGCTTAACATCACTGATCATCAGAGAAATGCAAATCAAAACTACAATGAGATATCATCTCATCCAAGTTAAGATGGCTTTTATCCAAAAGGCAAGCAATAACAAGTGCTGGCAAGGATGTGGACAAAAGGGAACCCTTGTACACTGTTGGTGAGAATGTAAATTAACACAACCACTGTGGAGAACAGCTTGGAGGTTCTTCAAAAAACTAAAAATAGAGCTACCATACTTCCCAGCAATCCCACCGCTGGGCATGTACCCAGAAGAAAGAAAATCAATATATCAAAGAGATATCTGCACTCCTATGTTTGTTGCAGCACTGTTCACAATAGCCAAGATTTGGAAGCCACTCAAGTGTCCATAAATAGATGAGTGGATAAAGAAAAGTGATACTTATACAAACAAAATACTATTCAGCCATAAAAAAAATTCAGTCATTTGCAACAACATGGATGAAACTGGAGGTTATTATATTAAGTGAAATAAGCCAGGTACAGAAAGACAAACATCACATGTTCTCACTTATTTGTGGAACCTAAAAATCAAAACAATTGAACCCATGGAGAGAGAGAGTAGAAAGATGGTTACCAGAGGCTGGGAAGGGTAGTGGAGGGGTTGAGAGGATGGTTAATGTGTACAAAAACATAGTTAGAAGGAAAGAATATGGCCTAGTATTTGATAGCACAACAGAGTGACTGTAGTCATTAATAATTTAATTATACATTTAAAAATAGCTAAACATATAATTGGATTGTTTGTAACGCAAAGGATAAATGCTTGAGGGGATGGATACCCCATCTTCCATGATGTTATTTTATGAATTGCATGCCCTTATCAAAACATCTCATGTATTCCATAAATATATGCCCATACTTTGTAAACACAAAAATTAAAAATAAAAAATTAATTTTCAAAAAGGAGACTTTTTTAGGGCCTCTTTACTTCCAGACTTAGCTTTCTATGATCCAGCCACTCTTCATTTATTGTAATCCCTCAGAAGCCTCATGCTCTTTTTTCCCTGGGGCTTCTGGTTAAGACATTCTGCTCTAGATACCTCTTCCCTTCTAGAAGCTAACTTTTATCTCTTCTTAAAGTCTCAGCTTAGCTGACGCTGACTCCCAGAAGCCTTTCCTGTTCTCCACATCTTGGATAAGCATCCACTTCTCTGCTCCCTTGGCACCCTTATCACCATTGTTGCAAGCCATTTTGTCATTGCCCATATTTCCTGCCCTCAAGTACATCCTTGAAGGCAGGATCTCTGACTGTCCTCAGCATCTGGCACAGCACCTGGGACATAGCAGGCCCTTCATATATACTGAATGACCACATCAATTATTTCAGATCACAGAAAAGCTTGAAAATTAATTTGTCCAGAACCATCTCATTTCTGGAATTTTCCTTTATTAATGATTCTGCTATGGTTTGCACAGTCCTTCACCTTTTCCTTCCTTGCGTGCCCCTTGAGCTCCATTGTTCTCATTGTTGACTAGGACAAACGTAATCATTTTCTCAATCAAGCGCAATATTACTGTCCACCAAAATTGAGTAACTAAGGAACTTTGCAAGTCTCCTTGCATACCCCTAGGGTTGGAATGTGTTTTTTTTCCATCATGGTACCCCTGGGAACTCTGCGTACCAAGGAGGAAACCATGACTTTGTAGCTGGGAGAAGAGTGAGAGAGTCTTTCACACTAACCAATTCCACGGGTTCCCACATTGAAGGAAACAAGAATGGTGGAAAAGAATAAAGGGAAAGAAAACAGAATAGAGGGCACCAGATATTATGTCTCATGTTTTATAGAGGAGGTTGTTGTTATGAGCTATTCTCATTATGAAAACCACCAAATCTTTTCTTTCTCTGGCTCTTTATTGTGCATTCGGAGATCCCTTAGGCTATTTCATCAAGTATCCATGAATAAAAAGCCCCCACAAGACAGACACAAAAGGAAAGAAGGGCTGGCTTAATGCTGCAATTCTCCCTAGAAGGAAGAGGGTTTGTAACCAGCCTTGGCAGGGCCTAACTGTGCAGTAGCCCCAGTGTGGGTGCATCTGCCCCCGCATCATAAATTAGGAAAGCCACATTGGCCTGATAACTGTGAGGTTATGTACAGCTCTTGTTGTATGATATGCTCTCAGGTCTACCGTTAGGCCTTGCTGTGCTCCCAGAAGATGCCTCAGGTGAGGTGACAGAGACTTACTAAGGCTCCTGCTATGTCTTAGGCACAAGCAAAGGCCGTATGTTTACCTGCTGAGGGCATTTTGTTCATACACAGTACATTTGTTCGGATGCACATCTGTCTTTTTCATATTCCATATATGCATGTTTACTGTCTCATATAATTCACAAACTTAAAGATGTCCTAACTTAGAGAAAACAGACTATTTCAAATACAGGTCCATACAACTGTAAGTAAAATGTGAAGTAAACTGACAACATTCCTAATTAGAATTCATTACTGCTTTTTAAAAAAATGCATTAATTTTAGGTCTGGAGTTCAAAATCTGCCTCACAATGCCAAGGTTTACTACAACTATGCCAATTTCCTGAAGACCCAGGTCAGAACAAGGAAGGAACCTACCGCTATAGAACGGCCCTCACATAAACCATACAGGAAGGGTACTGGCCACTGTACTTTGAAGATACTTATTTCACTCATCCCATCCCAATATATGGGGAGTTTGTTTGTTTCTCTTGACAGTGAACTGATCCTTGGAGGTGGTGTAGCTCTTGGACTGTGAGTCTTTTAGCTCAATATTCAAGTCTGGTATTAATTCAATAACTCTACTTTGCATCTAACTCTTGGTGTTTCCTGGAAAATTTTCCAGTGCTACACATTATGCAGTGAAGTGACACTCAGTTGAGTATATATATGCAGGAAGACAGAAATTGGTTGCTAAAAATATAGTGGTAAGTTCTCAGGGCATGTATTCCAGTGAATTATTAATAGAGTGTATGGGAAAATCTTGGCTTGCCACTGCATGAGGAAGATTTCTATGGAAACATTTAAAGCAATGAAGATGCCTTTACATGTGTGTTAAATTAGGAGTAAAATGAGAAGGCACTTCATGGCCAGGTTTTGACTTTAAGGCTTTTGAAAACATGTATGTAATTATACTTTTCCAAGGTAAAAAGCTCTGATGTACTCCTCATAGCCATCATGGGATGCAGCATATCAAACATGCTTATAGTTGTGGCTGTATTTCATTCTTAAGAAAAGCCCATAGCTGTGGTACTCTCAGAGACTCTTTTCATATCTCCATGCAGAGTTTTCATGGTGGCTATCTCTCAAGATTCCAGATAAGAAATATATTTGACCTTTAACACATGGAGACTTGATGAATAAAATACATGAGAGTACAATAAAGCGAGGTGAGTTCTCTCCTCTATTGAATACACTAAGAGAAGTCCTTTTGACAGGATTCTGTACCCCACCAATGGGCCCATATTTAGTTGACTTCTCTAATACAATTCCACTTTTGTAAATGCTTAAAACATATTGACATGGTTTGTCTCTGTGTCCCCACCCAAATCTCATCTTGATTGTAATCCCCTAATCATCACGTGTTGAGGGAGGTACCAGGTGGGAAGTACTAGATCATGGGGGTAGTTTCTCCCATGCTGTTTTCGTGATAGTGAGTGAGTTCTCACAAAATCTGGCAGTTTACCCTGCTCTTGCTCACTCTTGCCTGCCACCATTTAAGACATGCCTCTTCCCCTTCCACCATGATTGTAAGTTTCCTGAGGCCTCCTTAGCCATGCGGGACTGTGAGTCAATTAAACCTTTTTTCTTTATAAATTACCCAGTCTTGGGTAGTATCTTTAGAGCAGTGTGAGAATGAACTAATACACACATATACACATATACCAGTAGGTATGGGTAACTGAATAATATATTTCACTTAGGATATTGAGAGTCTGTTTTCTAAAATTCCTACCAAGATGTTCTTAAAGCTTTGTTTTAAAAATCATCATTCACCAGAATGCTTTTTGGGTTTTGCTTCTATACTATCTTTTGGAATAGTATTCTGTGCCAGCATATTATTCATGAATTACTTAACATACACCAGGGCCCAAACTTAAAACAGTACCCAAAAAGTTAGCCACCAGAAACATTCTCCAGATCACAAGAAATGGAAGTTCCCCATGGAAAGTAAGAATAAACCTTCATGTTTTAATTGAGGAGTGGGAAATATACTTAAAGCATTAAGTATATTTAGAAAGAACAATCATGTTCTTTCTCTGGGAAAGTATATTCTTCCTCTGGGAAAGTATATTAAGAAAGAACAGTCATATTCTTTCTCTGGGAAGCAGTTTACCAAAAGATTACAACTCTATTTTAAATTGATGAGATGCTGTTGAATTTTACATTTTTAAATGCTATACTTTAGCAATAAGAAAATATCATTTTAAACTTTAAGGGCACAGATCAGGTATATTTTTACTTTAACAATGAAGTAACATTTAACACTGCATTATTGTGTGGAGAAAATGAATACTAAGTTTACCTGAAAAAATTGGATGAAAAGAAATGTTTTAGTATTTTATTTTTCATTCTTAAAGTGTACTTGCTGTCATCTTTAAATGGGTAAAGTGAGGCAGGCTTTAAGACACTTGGAATAGTGGGTATGATTCACTGGTAGCTGTTTTAAAAGAATCATTGTAGGCCAGGCATGATGACTTACACCTGTAATCCCAGCACTTTGGGAGGCTGAGGTGGGCAGATCACCTGAGGTCAGGAGTTCAAGACCAGTCTTACCAACATGGTGAAACCCCATCTCTACTAAAAATGCAAAAATTAGCTGGGCATGGTGGCACACACCTGTAGTCCCAGCTACTCAGGAAGATAAGGCAGGAGAATCGCTTGAACCCAGTAGGGGGAGGTTGCAGTAAGTAGAGATCACGTCACTGCACCCCAGCCTGGGTGGCAAAGCGAGATTCCATCTCAAAAAAATAAAAAAATAATTATTGCAGTTAGATAATTTGAGGTATCACCAGTGAAAGCATAAAAATATATGTTGCTGCATTAATTCTGCTTTTGTAAAATGTATGTCTCTTGAGAAATGAAAAACAAAAAAAATAAAGCTACAAATATATCATACAGTGATTGGTGAAATATTCTGTGCTCTCAGTCCAGACTCAAAACTCTGTCTGGTTTGAGAGCATCCTCCTTATAGTGTGCAGTCCCCTGCTATGACTGTTCAATGGATGTTGGTGTCTTTTAAAATAAATTTTCACTTTTTATCATCATTAGAGAGAAAGGAAAAGATACTGTGACTGTTCATCATTTTGGTGATTGTTAATCTAGATGACCAGAAGATTGCTCATTTTATTTTGATATTGCTAATTTCCTATGAAATTGGCTGACAGAGGAAGTCTTTCCCCTTCTAAGTGTCTCCCTTCCCATTTCAGTGAATCTAATTTTCTCCATATTTGCAGACAGCAAGAAGGAGAATAATGGGGAAATACAAAGTTAAAGGATCTAAAAATCAGTTCCAACAATCATCTACTACAGCTATCAGTGATTGTACAGATTCCCAAAGCAGTAGTGAAGTTAATCATTCAAATTGTATTTATTGCCAGCCAATCATTTTTTTTTTTTGGCTGGCTTATATTTCTCAAACTAGCTCATAGTAAACTGGTAATTATATACAACATGACTCTATTGTTTCTTTTACATTTTTATTTTATTTTTACAATCTTGCAGAATTGCCTCTGCACCTTCCCTTTAGCCATAGCCAATTTAAGTATTTTTGTATAGTGTGAGAAACCTCCCCTGGAAAAGTGCTGCATTATTAAGTTACAGATTCAGTTAAAACCCTAAATCATTTAAAAAAAAGAAAGAAAAGAAAAAGAAAGAAACAAACAAACAAACAAAGAAAGAAAGAATGCTTAACTTAAATTTTCAACAAATATGAATGTTAGCTTTGCTTTGCTTTGCTTTGCTGTGAGAGCAGCTTTCATGCTTATACCTATTCTGGGTCCTATAAAGCTTGGGATCATATATGATGGAAAATCAGAAAACCACTGGTAGATCTGCGATATGCTTCCAAAGCTTTCTGACCATTGAGTTATTTCAGGAAAGGTTTCTGCCATTCAACTCCACTTAATGGGAGTAGAGAGTTCAAAGACCACCCAATATCTCAGTTCTTCCAACACAGAACTCTTACAAAAGACCTTTGCTAATATATTAACCCACAGTGACCCTGCCTGTGGGTCAGAAGATGCCCCTTGGAGAACTTCTGATTGGCCAATAGTTTGGTTAATTAATTTTAAAAGTTAAGGTGGATAAAGCAGACAATATATAACTCTGAACACTGTTTTAGCCTAAAACATACAAATGTACTTCCATTCAACCACATTTTAAAGTTGAGCAAAGGCTTTTCAATAAGAACCCATCAGTTAAAAAACCAAATCACCATTTTCACATAAACTATATCCAAAATGCATCATCTACGACTACTATCAGTTTGGACAACTTCAAAGTAGAACAAAAATTTAAAGATTCTTGCAAAGTAAGTTGAGTAGAAAATCTATGAATTTCATGATTTTTTTCCTCCAGTCTTTTACATCATCTCCACACCTAATTGAACAGCAGTTTTCTATTTCTTGGCAACTTCACTTTTTTAGCTTTTGTAAAATATTTCCTTGGTTTTCACCGAAATGACAACTCTTGTCACACTCAGATTGTATCTGTTTAGAGGATATTTTACTGAATTATACGATTATGATTTTTAAAATACAACTGAAATAAACAGGAATAAATACAACTGACTACTGGCAATCAAACAACTCAATCAGTGGAAACAGGTACACAGGCTTACAAAAGAGCAGTGCACTCCTGAAGTGTGGATGCGGGCATAACTCAGTAAATTTCACAGAAGGATTGGAGACTCTCTAGTAATCTGGTGACTTTTTAATAGGACGTTATTTAAAAGAGAAAATATATCAACTCTAGGTAAATTAGTAAAAACTATGGTTTCTACTATTGTTCAGACTCATTAGATGACAATTTTTGGTTATTTTCTGCTGGGCATCAAGAATCCTGCATCTGGGAATACAGAATAAGGCTGCCCAATGTGTCAGGCTGGTCTCTCCAGTATCACCAGAATATGACCCCATGTTCCACTGAACATTTGTTCACCTAGATGTCCTTCCTACCACTTCATCTCATAACGCCCTGCTGCACCCAGTACTGCAAGATTCGCTGATGTGCCTCAGGTGTTTGGATATCAGCCACACGGCAGGATTTAATCCTGATAAAAGGGCTGAGATCCTCAGTCACCCAGACAGTTATTTTCCTCTTCACACACACCGTTTCAGCATGAAATATACAGTAAATCAACTAAAGTTGATTTTCTCCCCCCGTATTGCAATCAAATGGAAGATGTATTACACTGCTCCTTGGAAGACTCAAGTGCGCCTAAGCATTCGTGAGACCTTTAGAATGGCCTTATATGTTCCTAATATGTCTGTTACTGATGTCTTAAACAGAAAATATGAAGGAAAAGAAAACTGCTGAAACAGGATTGAAGTTCCTGATCGTGTTGTTTTCTGTTGGTGTATCTAAAATGTAAGGAGCATACATTTCATGATTCTGTATAAATGAAACCCTATCCCACTCTTTAATTTGCTAAAACATGGTAAAGTAAGGGGCTGACAATGTTTTGTTGAAAGTTATTTAATTCATAAAGTAGACATTTCTTATAATAATGCTTGTTGGTACAGTACTTAATCATCCTGCTTGTGTGGACAACCAGAATTTATCAAGAAAATTCTATAAGACTTGGATATATATTTTTTCAATAAGAAAAAAATATTTATTTTAGAAAGAAATAAATGTGTGAACATTAATGAAATATCATATATTAGAGCTATAACGGTATATGACAAAAGCTCACTGCAGCTGCCAATTAACCTACCTTTTAATGATATCCTAAGTTCCTTCAGTACAATTATTGTATCAAATTTCCTATGAATGCTCAACAAAACGTGCAGTTTGAACATTGTAAAAACTAGAAACCGTTGAATCAGGAAAAAACACCACTTATTTATGTAGCTTATTTTGGACAAACTTTTAAAATAACTTTCATAACTACAGATGGCCTTAGATGCCAGCTGCCATGTGCTTCTGGAAGGAATTAAAATTCCAACACCACTTGTTGCCCGGGTGTGACACATGGTGACGGCGCCTCAGCTGGAGTGGTGTTATCACTGTATTGGTCCTCACATTTAGAGCTCTGGACATCCTTTATGATATCTCATGTGAAATTCTGGCATTATTTTTGTGTCTTCTGTTGATGAAATTACATTCTCACTATACATGTTGTGTTAAGTCTGGCAGTTTTGTTCACCAAATCCAAGAAGCAGTGTTTTACGTAAAATATAAACGAGAATCTTTTTAGTCTTATAGTGGTCACGTGTAGGTATACTTTAAAATCATAGCACTATAATTTTTATTCGAAGACTTTTTTCCTTCATACCATTCTTGCACACCAAAAACTAGCTTAACAGGCGATCTATTCTGAGTCAATGAGGCAATTTTGACAGGATGTTGTTTAGATTCTCCATTTAAATGGAATCGGTAGTGGCAGCTACCTCACAGAGTTCTTGTGAGAATTCCTGTGAAGTGCTTAGCAAGGTGCCCTGGCCGGCTGCTGAGCACTGCATCAGCAGTTACTGCACTCAGAGTCTGACCGCTGCCTTCACTGCTTCACTCCTCCTTCTCCCCAGGAGCCGCCATTTTCCCAGCCCTGCCACAGCCACAACTTCCGCTCCTCCTCCTGCCTCCACCACCAAGGCACCCTGGGGGATTCATGGATCCCTGGTTCAAATTACTCTTCCATTAATAGAGTCCTGCACCGGCCCTACCTCATCCGGAGTGGAAGCCCTGACTGTCTGCCTTGCCATGGCCATTCCCTCTCTGTCCCCATTTCCTGCTGCTCCCTCTGTGGTTCCTCAGCTCCAGCCACAGTGGGCGATTTGAGGCCCCTGGGACGCACACCACAGGCACGGCCCTGCGTCTGGGCTTCTACACTCGCTGTTCCCACTGCCCAGAGTGCTTCTCCCCTAGTGTTTGCATGCCTTACCTCCACACTTCCTCCAAGACATCTGTCACCTTCTTCCTGAGGCCTTCTCTGACCACCCCACATGAAATCGCAACAGTCCTGCCGCCCCAGCACTTTCTGTCCCTTTGCACTGATCTATATTCTACACAACTCTCATCACCCTCTAATATACTTGGTGTTATGTAAACTGTGTGCCTCACTCTTCTAGAAGGTAGTCTCCACAAGAGCTTATATCTTTGTTTATATCCCCAGCACATAGGACAGTATGAAGCACATGGTAGGCCTACAATAAATATTTGTTGAATAACTTAAAACTGCATGTACATGCACACTACTGATGCTGCTTTTTAGCATGTGAACTGTGTGATTAACAAATTTCATTGTCAATCTTTTTGACTCAGGAACCCAAGAACACTTGTCATCCAGGAACACACATCGTGGAAGAAACAGATGAATGCAAGATGCCTTGAGTGTTCACTGTTAATTATGAAGAAGTACTAATAGATGATGTTTTGACTGGTGGGAGCAAGTTGAAGGCTGCTGACAGCAATGAAGAAAATTATTTTTTTGGAAGATGAGAAAGCCATGGGAGATGGGAAGAGCTGGATGTTTCAGCTTGACATGGGTTCATTAGGCCTGGGGTGACAACTGAGTCAACACTCAAGAGGTCCTACAGCTCCACAAGCTCCTCTTCATCTCTACAAGTAAGATCCAAGAATCCTAAAACACACTGGTTATTTGAAGGAATGGGCTCAGAGAAGAAATAACCATATTTGTTAGTCAGAATGTAGTGGGTGTGGCCATGGGTACTTGTACAAAAATCACCTCAGTGGTTCACTGGCAGCCTAGCAAGATGTGCTACTGGGTCCACTTTTACAGAGAAATAAACTTGGGCACAGACATAAATCCAAGCCACGTAGCTGGAAAGTGCCATAGTCATAATGGAGCCCAGGGCTGCAATCCCATTCTGTTTCCACTTCACCAAAGCAGCTTTCCATCCATCCTACCCTCAAAACAAGAATAGCATAAGTTACATTCACAATATTCCATTTACAAGGCAGAGAAGTATGAGACTGTCTTTTAAAAAGAATTTCATTTGATAAATGTCCTACCTTCTGGTACTTACAGGGTTGATTCTCAACTCTCAGAAGAGTCAACTATTTAGAGGATTCATTTCCTGCCTCTTCAGCTTTGGTTTTATTTTAAATCTTGTTGGCAAATTAATAGAAGGGAGGTTTTCGGGATCCCCTGTGTGATCCAGAGCTGAACAGGAGGGGAGTTCAGCTTAGGTTGATTGATCATTACTTCCTGGGGATAAGGGAGGAGCAGGGGAAAGGCTAACATGGTGAAAATACGGTACTGCATCCTGAAATTGAGTTTACCTGGGCTATATTTTAGTCACGAAAAATTGAGGTTTTCTGAATGATTTTTTTAAACAGTCATGTTTTTCTCTTTGATTTTTTTCTCAACAAAAAATAGAAAATAAATATCTGACCTTAAGTATAGATAACCTCCAACAAATAAAAATTGAGAATGAAAATCAGACAAGCAAATCAGGGTGGGCACACTCAAAGGAAATTGCAAACTAGAGTACATGATGCAATTTTACCTAAACACTGAAATTTCTTACAAATCACTTTGAACAATGACAAACTGATGGCATCCATGACTTTTGAACAGATTGTGCAAACTCTGAAGGAAATGCTTGAAATAAAAAATAAATCTAAATTTTAGTTGCATAACTTCTATCAGTTGCTATTCTCTTTATGGTCTTCTATATGATACTTTTTTTGAGATTCAAGCCTATAGTTCTTTGGTCAAAGATAGAGCTTAAAAATAGTAGAGCCAAAAGCACTACTACTACATAATTTTTATATTAACACCTGGTAAGCCAAGTTTATTTACTGAGTGTTATTGATTCTAAAGAGGTTTTCTATTATGTAATAGTTTTCACAGACGTAATTTTCACTTTTTGTGATAGGCAGCACATTTTTCCAGTTAAATAAGAAATCTAATTAGTTGAGTTTGTTTGTTTGTTCGTTTGAGACAGAGTCTTGCTCTGCTGCCCAGGCTGGAGTGCAGTGGCACGATCTCGACTCACTGCAACTTCCACCTCCCGGGTTCAAGCGATTCTCCTGCCTCAGCCTCCTGAGTAGCTGAGATCACAGGCACATGCCACCACACCCGGCTAATTTCTGTATTTTTAGTAGAGACAGGGTTTTGCCATGTTGGCCAGGCTGGTTTTGAACTCCTGACCTCAAGTGATCTGCCTAGTTCGGCCTCCCAAAGTGCTGGGGTTATAGGCGTGAGCCACTGCGCCCGGCCTAGTTCAGTTTCTTTAGAAATGTTTTACTTCTCTTGGAGTACTATTTGCCAAGATATTATAGTTGAATGGACTGTCCACGGAAAAAAAAAAACAATTATTCCACAGTTGGTAGCAGCATATTTAGACATAGCATATGCTGCATATGCTATGTGGCTACTGAGCTATATGATTATAGCTCAAAGGACTGTAGTCACTTATGTTGACGGCTAGGCCGTTGCTCATATTTTTGGGGAAAATAAATAGATTTACCAAAATCCTCTGCCTCTTAACACTATAGAAACACCAGTGATTCTGAGATAATATTTTGTTTGTTATAATTCATAATTTATTTAGTTTCTCCTAGACTTTGTTTACTAAACTATAAAGTAAGTAAAATAATCATTTTAACTTAAAAAATAGAAAATTAAATGATATAATATCTGGGAAAGTATTCTACAAGCTGCAAAGTGCAAGACAAATGTATGATATCATTACCACTATTTTAGATCATCTGGATTTATTTTATTCCTGCATTTTATTTTTCTCTTAAGCAAATGCAATGGCTTGGAGGAAAGGAAATAATTTTCTTGCCTACCTACTTTACTTTTGCTTAATGAAATGTTGTTAGATGCAAATTAAGAGCCTCTTAAATGCTTAAATACATGTTATGTTTATCAAACATTTAAGCTTTCCAATATTAGATTAACATTATCAATAGATTACAGATTTTTTCTGTGACAGCTGTCTCTTATTTATGCAGAATTATTTTTCTCTGTACTTATATTTGTCTTTTAAAGTGAAAAAATTTTTTTGCTTGAGTATGCTATACGTGCTCTTACAATAAAAGTTTTTAATTCATCTGATGAGCAAAAATGATTTTTTTAAATGCTGAGAGCAACCAAATGGTATTCACACTGGGTCTTCAAAAGTGGGCTAGAACTCACCAGTCTTTTCCAGTTCAGTGAAGTATTTGTTTTTTATATCAGTGGAACTCTAAGTTTCTTTCTATGGGTTCACAAAAAACTACAAACAGAACCTTTGTATGACATACCTAAAGAAGTCAGATTCAAGATATGCTTACATTTATTCTGACAATTGACATGGGAACAAATCTCTTAAATTATTCAACTTTCCAGTAGAAATAATCCCCACTTGGCTTTTCTGAAGACCTTGAGCTCCAATATAATTCAAACACGTTTAATTAAAGAAGAAAAACACAAAGTAGGTTTTATCTTTGCATGAGTGTGTGATAGAGAAAAATATATGTTTTATAAAACTAAATTTATAATCAAAGTGATAACTTTTACTTGCCCTTGAAGAATATTTTTAATAAAATTCAGCTTTGTTTTGTAAATAATGTAGTGCTTGCCTGTGGTTGGGTTAAGTATGCAGAAATTTTTTCCTGGAGAACGAGAGGATATTACCTGCAGACCTTTGCTATTACCAAGAACAAAAAAAATGTCTACATATTATCCATATGGAGGACTGTGCTTGGTAATAAAATCAGTAAATTACAATAAATGCCAACGAGCCTATTCTAGTCCAGGGCTATTTGTTATAACAAAGTCTCTACTCAGACTCTGAGCACAATATATATTAAAGGACTTCTCTGCTCACAGTGCTTATATATTTTTTCTTCTTCATCTTGATGTTTGCTCCTGGTTTGGAGAGCTCAGAGTAAACTTATTTTCTGTTCCTAATCAAAAAGAAAAAGAAGAGAAAAACAATTCTGTAGTTAGTGATCATGACTGTCCACCTGGCAGTGGAATCATGAGTGAATATAAAATCTCAGAAGGTGGGCTGAGGACCAGCAGGAGAGGACCAGTTTCTTGGAGAGCAATCAGGCACCTTAACACATGGGTAACCTGAGGGAGAAGCTCATATAAAATTTGGTCTGACTTTTCCCAGAGTGCTTTTACCTCAGATGTTTACTCCAAGGTCCCCAAATCCAGAGAAATAAGGATCAAGAGAAAAAGATCAAGTTTTAAAAATGTCTTTTCTGTAATAAAGGGAAGAGAAGGTCCCAGGGATGCTTTGCTTGAAATCAAGGAAACAATGAGCATGGGAATTGCCATCAGCGTATTCACTGGACACGCCTTAAATCTGTTAGAGGTCAGAGAGCTTTACCTAAGCAAGTAGGTTCTGGCTGAGGATGCTTTTTGTAATCACTTCCAGGGAGTAACAGTGTACTTTTTGAGCCTTAGAAACCAGGATCTTTCACGGGCATGAAAGGTGCACAGGAGTATTATTTTCAGCACATAAGGATTTTGTGTGTGGTGGGGAGGGGTGGTGGTAGTTACAATATTCTTTCACTTCTCAGGACAGCTCTTGGATTTTGCTGTCCCTCAGTTACTGCTGACATATGCTTGGTGAATATAAAAGGCCCTAGAGACTGGGCATGGCAGCACACGCCTGTAATCCCAGCACTTTGGGAGGCCGATGCGGGCGGATCACGAGGTCAGGAGTTCAAGACCAGCCTGGCCACATAGTGAAACCCTGTCTCGACTAAAAATACAAAAATTAGCCGGGCTTGGAGGCGCACGCCTCTAGTCCCACCTACTCCGGAGGCTGAGGTAAGAGAATCGCTTGAACCCAGGAGACAGAGGTTGCAGTGAGCGGAGATTATACCACTGTACTCCAGCCTGGCGACAGAGCAAGACTCCATCTCAGGAAAAAAAAAAAAAAAAAAAAAAGAAGAAAAGAAAAAGAAAAAGCCCTAGAACTGTCTTTGCCAATTAGAGATGTTCGCAAAGAAGTAGCAGCTCCGTGTGTTTTCTCTGTCCAGCTGCCTCTTACAGTATGTTTCTCAAAACAGCTTCCTAAGCTGGAGTATGGGCCTTTTAAGCTAATGCAATTTGTCTTCTTTGGCCTTTTAGTAGAACTTCTTCTGCTCCAAAATTAAATTGATCTTCTTAAATAGGGCAGAATGGGGAGCAAGGATGGCTTCTGCTTATCAAGGGATTAGACAAGCACAGGTCCTGCTTTTATCACTCGGACATTATCTTGGCTTTTCTACATTCAGTTAGCTCCACAGTTTTGTTCCTTGGGCAACAAAGATGAAGAGGACCTATTAAATTGCCAAATATGTCCACTCTAAATGTAGCAGAAACAGCTACATTATGTAGCTGTGCTAATTTGGCTTTTTATTGTGTAGGAAGTAAGCTGATCCCCTTGTTTCCTATAGCAGCCCAAATTTTCTGTATTGATGCATGCACATGGAGACCTCCTTTGAACTTGGTTTTGAACTTTGGGACTGTTGGCCTTTTTATATGGAATTGTGCATCACTTAATATTTTTATTTTTATGTGTTTTGCCAGGATTTTCATGCTATGAACTACATCAGACAAGGTGTATCCTCGTGGCAGAAGAAGGAAATAAAACAAAATAATGAATCCAGTTGAAGTACCGTTTTAGAGATACGATTTATTTTTCATTTTTCATGCATGAATTTTGTGTAGCCTTCTTCTTAGTAACACCAGCTTTACTGATGCCCTGATCCAAAGGTGTTTATGTAAATCTCTCGTATCCAAACCACAGAATTCCCACCATCATGTGTAAATAGAAGGCACTAGATAAGCAGGTTGTCAGCAATACCACCAGGCCAGAAACTCTGCTCCTTGTGAGAATTTTCTACCAAAAGAACTTGAAAGTATCTCAATAAGCCATAAAAGGTTGAAGTTTATTTAATCATGCTAGCTCTGTAAATATTTCTAAATCTTCCATTACTTAAGGGCTATATTTATACTAATATGTATCAGATCAATGCCAAATTTATCTCCAGCAGTAAAATGTTAAAATAACCTTTAAAAAACTATTTTTTAAAAAACAAAAAAGGTGACCATAAAGATTGGCACATTCATATCCTTTCTAAAGTGAAAGTAAAGGACAAATTCAGTTTTTTATTTTAGTCATGGAACACCCGGGGGAAAAAGAGAACAAGCAAACTATGCCACACTTAGGGGTATTTGAACAATTGTAGTTTAACATTTCTAGTTTTTAGTTAAATTTAGTTAAAATGGTAAATTTTATATCTATCTTACCAAAATAAAAATACATAAATCAGAAAAAAATTTAATTAGAAAATAAATTTCTTATTTTTTAAGTCATATTGCACCATGCGAGTGCCCCGAACAACCTTGAAACCCTGACAAGAGACACAGCAGGGACAAAAAATGCAGTCAAAGGGCTCTCCAGCTCCATCCACAGCATAACCCAGCTCTTGCCAAGATTGACAAGATCTTGACAAGAAGAGTCTACTCTTCCTCAGTAAGTGGAATGTTTATCACTGATCAAGCAGTCTTGTGATTCAAATAAACCCTTTCCTTCTCGACACTCATTTAGTTGTGGTGCCACCGCCTCTTCCTGGAGCTATTGGGACTTTCAAGTTTAGGGAGGATGTGTCATTCATCTAAATGGATTCTCTCTTTTGTCAGTCAAGAGAAGCATTTACCGGAGTGTCTTTCCTGGAAATACAAGGTCTGAGGGATGTTCATAGCTGCCCATTAAGTGAGGTCAGTGAGGAGTCCAGTGGTCAAATAAACTTAGGAAATGCTGAGTTACACAAAATAGGTTCCTTTGTTACAAGAATCATTAATAGATGTTAACTCATGACTTTTCAGGAAAGGAATATTCAGAATTTTCTTGGGAGTCTGAGGCAGGAGGATCACCTGAGGCCAGGAGTTTAAGACCAGCCTGGGCAATATAGCGAGATTCTGATGCTACAAAAAAAAATCTTTAAAAATTAGCTAGGTGTGATGGTGTGCACCTGTAGTCCTAGCTTCTTAGGAGGCTGAAGTAGGATGATTACTTGACTCCAGAAGTTCAAGCCTGCAGAGAGGTATGATTCCACCACTGCACTCCAGCCTGGGCAACAGAACAAGACCCTGTCTCTAAAAACAAAAACAAAAGAATTTTCCAAGAAAATTTTCCGGTAGAGCTTTCCCAGGATAAAGCATTCCATGAATATACTTTTGGGAAAGCATTGGTCTAGAAAACACATGAGGGGGGCAATGCCTTGAAGTGTTATAACCAAAATAGCATTACTGCAATTTCTGACTACAATTTGTACTAAAAAGGGACAGAGGGTGTGAGATTCAACTGCAATTAGTAGTGGTAACTTTTGCTCTTATGAATAACTTGTAGACAATCAACGGGTTTTGCTCTTTCACTCACTACTCACTTAAGAATTGGTAACACATGCAGGATTACTGAAGACTGGGACAAGTGGAGTTCTGTGTGTTGTATCTCGGTATTTCTGTTAGGCATGTTGGTAATGGTGGCAATGGCCACGATGGAAGTGGTAGTGGGTGAGTAGGGGTGGAAATAAAGGTTGAACTTCTGAACGTAATAGTCATGTGGAAGTCAATATAAATGGCAAAACAAAGGTTTAGATGATTGGAATAAGGGAAAATAGTGGTATGTTTATTTCTACTTGTCAGGGTATTAACACTCATACTGAAATGGTTTCCATGTTTAGAAGTTTCAAAAGGACAAGATAAATATATGTCCATGTGTTCATTTCTGTACATCTTAAAGTGCCTACAATGTTTCTTTTTTTGATTTTTTATTTTTCATATATATAGGTACATAGTAGGTACATATGGAGTATATGAGATACTTTGATATAGGCATATAATGCATAATAATTACATCATGGTAAGTGGGGTATCCATCCTCTCAGGCATTTATCCTTTGTGTTATAAACAATTCAATTATATTATTTCAGTTATTTTAAAATGTACAATTAAATTATTATTGACAATTGTCACCCTGTTGTGCTAACAAATACTAAGGTCTTATTCATTCTTTCTATTTTTTTGTACCCATTAACCATCCCACTTTCCCCCTACCCTACCCACTACCCTTCTCAGCCTCTGGTAACCGTCTTTCTACTCGCTATCTCCATGAGTTCAAATGTTTTAATTTTGAGCTTCCACAAACAAGTGAGAACATGCAAAGTTTGTCTTTCTGTGCCATGATTATTTCACTTAACATAATGACCTCCAGTTCCATCCATGTTGTTGCAAATGACTCGTCAGAAGTTTGGTTATCCCACGTCATGCTAGTGTAACACCCCATTTTATCAGCAAAGATGAAAAGCTAGAATTACCATTAAACTTGTCTTCAAAAATAAGCTAAAAGTTTTTTAACTCAAAATTTAGTAAACTGTTTTGAATGTGGTGATAAAGCTGGGTTTGCCTTTTTATGTATAAGTGTTTATGTCACATCTCAATAATTACTCTAGAATTCCTAATAACAGTACAAGCTAAATAAGTTTGAAAATCATATAATCTATTGCTATAATTTGGTATAAACTAAAAATGGTGAAATTCAATCAAGGAGTGAATGCTTTGAAAGCTGTACCATTTTTGCACCAGGAAATTCCCTAAGAAAATAAAAAGTAATCAAGGAGGTCGGGCATTGTGGCTCACGCCTGTAATCCCAGCACTTCGGGAGGCCGAGGCAGGCGGATCACAAGGTCAGGAGATCGAGACCATCGTGGCTAACACGGTGAAACCCTGTCTCTACTAAAAATACAAAAAATTAGCCGGGCATGGTGGCGGGCGCCTGTAGTCCCAGCTACTTGGGAGGCTGAGGCAGGACAACGGCGTGAACCCAGGAGGCAGAGCTTGCAATGAGCCCAGAACACGCCACTGCACCCCAGCCTGGGCGACAGAGCAAGGCTCTGTCTCAGAAAAAATAAAATAAAATAAATAATCAAGGAATTGGGGAATATGAGTACTAGTTATTGATATATTAGTTTTTAGAAACATATGATGCTTATTATTTTACTCTACTATTTTTAAGTTTTTATGGGCACATTTTTTAAAATCATTGCTATATCTCATATGTACTACTTTGGGATCAGAACACAAAAAAGCTGGAAAAATTCCTTTAAATTACTTTTTGGCTTCCTGGGCCATGTAGCATCATTAAAATCCTATTTCAGGACTCACGTGAATGTCTTTTTTTTTTTTTTTTTTAGACAATCCTTTCTAAAGAAACCACCCTTAATGACCTAGCTACAAATGCCATTTCACTTTAATGGGAGATTTCCTTCAGCTGTGGTTTTAACATTATGAAAATTTTGACTCCAAATGAAAATGATAGCAGAGATTCTCTCATATTTCATTAGCCAAATCCTGAGCAAGAGAATGATACTGGGGACTTTCCTTTTGAGTCACATATTATTTTTAATTGGTATGTATGAATTAAATAAAGAAAAATATTTTATATTTATACATAACCAATAAATAAAAAAATCTAATTCCATTTTGGTAAAATCAAATGTAACACATTGTTGACACTAATGACAATGTTTTACACTTGTAGAGTACTTTGTAGATTTCTGAGTGGCAGTTATTACTTCAGTAGAAACTCACAATTCGTCCGCTAAATAAAAAGGGACAAAGAGGCAATGAAAGCCTTGAAGGTTCAATGACTTGTCCAGGGTCACATAGCAAATTACTTTCAGAGGTGGGGTTACCGCCCCACTTTACCATCTGCTCCTCCACATGCAGAGTGCCTGTTTCTCTGTGGTACAGACAGTGTAACTCAATCTAGTAGATTAAAATAGTAATGACAGCTACCATGTGAATAAAACTTTCCAGTTTATAGGGTTCTTCCACATAAATTATTTAATTCATCTTTCTAACAACATTTTGAGGTTAGTATTATTGTGACCATTCCCATTTAAATAAAACAACTGAGATTTGACAATATCAAATGACTTTGGCCTTGGCTGTAGAAGACTCGGGTCTTTGAATCCTAGTTGCTTGTCTCTAAGCTGCTCAAGTAACTCTCAAATGCAGAAATTTATATTTAATTTTATGATGATGTCTTTTTGTCTCTTTGGGAAAAAGCATCTTCCTAACTACAGTCATGCCCCAATAACAACCTCTCCATCAACCACAGACCACATGTACAACAGTGGTCCCATAGGATTATAATGGAGCTGAAAAATTACTATTGCTTAGTGATATCATAGCTATCCTTATGTGGGCATAGTGCAAGGCGTTACTCACGTGTTTGTGGTGATGCTGGTGTAAACAAACCTACTGCGCTGTCAGTCATATAAATGTCTAGCACATACAACTATGTATAGTACATAAGACTTGATAATAAATGTCTGTTACATAGTTATATATTTACCATTTTATAATAGTTATCAATATTTTAGTGCACACCTTCTACTTATAAAAAAAATGTAAAACAGCTTCAGGCAGGTCCTGCACGAGGTATTTCAGAAGGCATTGTTGTCATAGAAGATGACAGCTCCATGTGTGTTATTGCCCCTAAACCTTCCAGTGGGATAAAGTATGGAGGTGAAAGACAATGATATTGATGATCCCAATTCTGTGTAGGCCTAGGCTAATGTGTGCTTTTGTCTTAGTTTTTATAAAAAAGTTGAAAGAGTAATACAAAATTTTAAATACAGAAAAACTTTTAGAATAGGGATATAAAGAAAGAAAAATATTTTTGTATAACTATACAGTGTGTTTGTGTTTTAAGCTAAGTTCCATTGCTAGAGTCAAAAAGTTTTAAAAATTCCAAGTTTACAAAGTCAAAAAGTTACAGTAAACTAAGGTTAATTTATTATTGAAGAAGAAATTTTTTATATAAATTTAGTGTAGCCAAAGTGTACAGTGTTTATAAAGCCTACAGTAGTGTACAACAGCATTCTAGGCCTTCACATTCATTCACCACTCACTCACTCACCAGAGCAACTTCCAGTCCTGCAAGCTCCATTCATGGTAAGTGCCCTATATAGGCATATCATATTTTATTTTTTATACTGAATTTTTACTGTAACTTTTCTATGTTTAGATTTAGAAATATTTACCAGTGTGTTACAACAGCCTGTAGTATTCAGTACAGTAACATGCTGTACAAGTTTGTAGCCTAGGAGCGATAGGCTCTACCATATATCCTAGGTGTGGAGTAGCCTATACTATCTAGGTTTGTGTAAGTACAGTCTATGATGTTTGCACAAAAATGAAATTGCCTAAGCTGCATTTCTTGGTGCTTATCATTAATTGATGCATTATTGTATATATTTCTTATGGAGACAATAAAGTTAGTGCACATTTCCTAAGCCAGCATCCCTCAGTAACAGAGAGAGGTGACCTAGAAAACAGCAGAGATCATCACATTTAGATGACTCTGAGCTTTAGTACTCTTCCTTAAGATATATCTGCTGTTAAAGTACAGCAATGAGCCAAAGGCAGAAAGAGAGACATTTTCAACATGATTTTCACTTAATTAATGGTATTACTTATTTAATAATAATAATAATATTACTTATTTAATAATCAATTTTGTTTATTTCTCAGTGGGCAGCTAACTTTTTTAAATTTGCATCTTTTTTTGGCAGGGGAGGGGATGGAGTCTCACTCTGTTGCCCAGGCTGGAGTGCAGTGGCATGATCTCAGGTCACTGCAACCTCCGCCTCCCATGTTCAAGTGATCCTCCTGCCTCAGCCCTCCTAGTAGCTGGGATTACAGGCATGCGCCACCATGCCCAGCTAAATGTTGTGTTTTTAGTAGAGACAGGGTTTTGCCATGTTGGCCAGGCTGGTCTTGAACTCCTGACCTCAGGTGATCCACCCACCTTGGCCTCCCAAAGTGCTGGGACTACAGGCGTGAGCCACCGCGCCCAGTCTAAATTTGTATCTTTAAAAACCATTGTCCTTTATATAATTTATATCTGAAAAGTTATGAAAGACTTGTAGAGAATTGATGTAATACAAATGATTCTTGTCTACAGCAATGTAGATTGTTTTCAGAAGAATGCAATTGATTATTGCCCTGTAAATATTGACCAGTTTTATTTCTATTTGGAAATTCATCTCAGCATTCCTCTGAATTCTCCTTTTTCATAATTACAATATTGTACTGTTTCTCTCATTAATGGGTTAAATGAAATCTTTAATATATGTTTAGTTTATATTTGCATGACAATCATGATTTTACCTTTTAAAAAATCCTGTAATCCTGGAATGTAATATTTATTCTAAAACCCAGGTTTGCTCATTAGATATGATGAGATTAGACTAGACTAGAGCATTCTTGTAAGTACTATCAGTATTCTTATATTACGAATATAAGAAACTAGGCTGAGCGCAGTGGCTCATGCCTGTAATCCCAGCACTTTAGGAGGCTGAGGCGGGGGATCACAAGGTCAGGAGATCGAGACTCATCCTGGCTAACACGGTGAAACCCCATCTCTACTAAAAAAAAAATTCAAAAAATTAGCTGGGTGTGGTGGCTGGCACCTGTAGTCCCAGCTACTTGGGAGGCTGAGGCAAGAGAATGGCATGAACCCAGGAGGCGGAGCTTGCAGTGAGCCAAGGTCACGCCACTGCACTCCAGCCTGGACAACAAAGTGAGACTCCATCTCAAAAAAAAAAAAAAAAAAAAGTAAAAAAGAAACTAAGAATTAATGTAAGTGTCATGGTGTGATTTTTGTGTCTTCCCCCAAAATACATATTCCAACTGCCAAGATGATGATATTAGGAGTGGGGCCTGTGGGAGGTGATTAGGTCACAAGGGCAGAGCCCACATGAATAGGATTAGTGTCCTTATAAAAGAGGCCTTATCCCTTCCACCATGTGAGGTCACAGCAAGGCGACACTATCTATAAGCCAGAAGGCAGGCCCTCACCAGACACTGACCTGCCTTGATCTTGGACTTCCCAGCTTCCAGAACTGTAAGATATAAACTTCTCTTCTTTACAAGCTACTCTGTTTGTGGTGCCCTGTTATAGCAGCTGAAACAGACTAAGACAATAAGAATATAAAGTAAGTAAGATAGAGAGATGAGCAAGTTTCCAAAGCCCAGCGTCAAATCATAAACACAAGCATCACATTCTACTGCCTCTACTCCCCATGCCTACCTCAGAGCTGGGATACTGCCAAGAGTTCTTTATTAATGATCTAGGCTACGACAGAAATGTGCGGCTTTGTCCAGCCTAAAAACTCTAAAGACATGGTTCTACCAGAACATGCCATTCCCACAGGAACATCTGAGATCACTGAGAATAAATTTTATTTGGAGCCTTGAAACTATAAGCCTGGCCAGCTTTGGGCCTTTTTGTAGCAACAGACCACACTGATCCTGATATGACACAAACACATTAAGCTTCTCTCATGACCCTTTCACGGAAACTTGAAGTGAATCCATTAAGATTCTATGCAGGACAGTTACAGTGTGAGAGACTGGTAAGAAACAGCTCTCCACAATGGCATCCTCAATTTACATTAATTACCGCTGATTTTGCTTGGAGACAAAAGTGTAAAAATATTATGGTTTCTGAAAGTAAGCAAGATTAGCATGAACTTTGTATGGATGAGCATAAGTCTCTAAAGGATCAGAATATTACAATAGAATATTTAGATTTGGTCTTGGGTGAAATATTTGTTGATGTGTACTACTGAAACTAAAGATAAAAACAACTTCTCATATATGCCATACCTCCCCTTCCTTGATACTATCCTCAGTGATATTATAAATATTGTTAGAATAAGCTTTACAAGCAATACTCATTAAAATATGTGCAATATTATTTTGATAATAGCACATATTGAATGTGTTTTACTCTGATTCTTTAGAAAATTAAATTTTAAGAAATTAAGGAACAATAAGAAATGTAATAATTTTTAGTAGCAATTATTTTTGAAATACATTCAAATATATCCCATGCTGGCCCTGGTTGTTACTGCTGTTAGGGTTTCTGGTCTCTCTGCTTCTCTCTTTCTTCACAACCCCTAAGCCATCTTTAACCACACTTGGCCATCTCGTTAATGTGTGTAGTGTCACCCTAGACTTTTTCACATCCTGAAAAATAATTTCAAGCAATTATTTTTGAAATACAATTATTTTTGAAATATACCAGCTGTACCAACTTTCATTTCACTTTTATCATATCAGGACTGCAGTTCAAACCTTTCCTACTTTCTAACTGAAGCTCCACAGAATCCATAGTGCCAAGCCCAGTAAGTTAAGGAAAAGCTTTTCAGAGAGCCACTGCATCATGTTGTCATGCCAGCACTCCAGTTAGAACTCTGAGAATGACAAGTTCTACATCCTCATCTTAGAGTAAAATGTAACTGTGCCCCAAAGACCCACTCATCTCCAGCATATCTCCAGCCTTCCTTTCTCTCATTGTACTCCCTGTCCATTATATCCCACTCAGCTTTAAATGTGCCCAACACATACTCATCCCTTTCCTGATTCCTGTGCCTCCATAAATCCAGGGCCTTAATGCCTCCTCCCCAGCATGGTTATACCATCGACCTCTTCATCACTGAGACTTCTTCTAATACCCAAAGCTTGAAATGTGCCCCTTTTACCTGAACCTCTTTCCTTTACCATTTTTCCTATTCTTCCACCCTCTCACTCTTGCTGACCTTGATCTTTGGAGGGATTATGATCAAGAACTGAAGCTGCTCAACTCTTCTCTGTACTCACCACCCTCTTCTCAGACCTTAACCCTGCATTCCACTCCTTGACTTTAAATGGCAGGGTTTCTCCACTTCCACTCCCTCGTTCATGCTGGCCCTGGTTGTTACTATTGTTAGGGTTTCTGGTCTCTCTGCTTCTCACTTTCTTCACAATCCCTAAGCCATCTTTAACCACACTCGGCCATCTCATTAATGTGTGTAGTGTCACCCTAGACTTTTTCACATGCTGATTCTTCTTGTAACTGTTTGACCAGGCCCCAACCCTAGGTAACCCCACTGCCTGCTTTCAGCTTTTGCTAGGCCTTCACGTAGGGCTCCACGGTTTCAAGAATATGACAAACTTGAGATAAATGGCAACACTTAGAAAACTTTAAGGAAAACATGATGAAAAAATTAAAATTTTTCTTCTGTGAATAAATACTTTCTTTCCTCATCGTGCCCCTTTGCTACCTTTCTCTATGCCCCATACACACTCAGCAGCAGATGACGTCATTCAGAACTTTTACTAAGAATAAAGAGTTCGGTTGGGCATGGTGGCTCACACCTGTAATCCCAGCACTTTAGGAGGCCGAGGCGGGTGGATCACCTGAGGCCAGGCGTTCGAGACCAGCCTGGCCAACATGGCGAAACCCTGTCTCTACTAAAAATACAAAAATTAGCCAGGCGTGATAGCGGGGGCCTGTAGTCCCAGCAACTCCAGAGGCTGAGGCAGGAGAATCACTTGAACCTGGAAGGCAGAGGTTGCAGTGAGCCGAGATGGAGCCACTGCACTCCAGCCTGAGAGATGGCGCGAGACTCTGTCTCATAAAAAAAGAAAAAAAAAAAGAGAGAGAGAATACAGAGTTCATCTAAAGTGAATTCCTAAGGGCCTTCTCTTGGGCTTCAGCCCTCTTGTTTTCCTCAAAAATGAAGGGTTTGACACTGTTGAATCTCTTGCCATTCCCATTCCTCCTATTCTCCTACTTTTTTACTCCTACGGACTCTGACCCTCACTTTTTTGAAAGTCTCTTATTCTGTGCTGATGTGGTCACGTAGTTTGTTCCTTCTGTATCTGATAACACTCCTCCTCTAAATTTAGGAGGTCAGAGATATTCATTGATTACCCATTGTCTACACATATATTGTCCAAACTTTTTAGCATTCAGGACTTTTCATAATCCAGTTACTTTTCACCATTATCTTCTACACTCTTATGCTGTGCAGCCTCCAGATAAAATAATTACTTGTCCATGCATGGGAAATACAATGCTACCAAAATACATTTTATGGTGTTAAGAAATAACCAGTATTTTTTGTGTTCCGCAGAGTCATGGCTTCCTGAGCAAAAACTACCAGCAACTTGGGTTAACAACAAGTTGATCAACAGCCACGCCTTGGAAGTTGGAGACAGTGAATTACTCCTGAGAGATTTACAGGTTTATTTGCCTCTGGGTTTCTTTATTTACAGTTCAAATGGTAATAAATTCCTGAGCCTAACATTTATATTTTAAAGAGCTATAACATCTAGGACCTTTTGCTTTTTTTCCAACAGAGGATTTCTTTGCATTAAAAACATAAGGTTTCCCTCCTTCCCCCTAAAAAGGAGGGAGCACCTGAACCAACATTTGAATAGGTTGTATAGGAACCAGCAGTTCCTATATAAGCACTTGCATTCACAATTTGGGAGTTCTTCCATATTGTATTCTCCTTCTACACCTCTGTACATCCAGGGTGACATCTGCTCCCATAGAATCACCCAAAGGGGAAACGGGGGACTGGAAAACCAACACCAAGATATCCTATAAGTAAACAATCAGCGTGTCTCTGACCCAGAAATCTTGTATTTGTTCTCAGGAGAAAATAAGTAACCTTACATATTAGAAACTTATCAAACGGAATTGTTCCAAAGAAATTCATTTAAATGCTTTGTATAAGGTGAGAATGAGAATTCTTTCACTTCATGTAGAACGTGTTTTTATTCAGGACTTTTTCAGTTCATTTAGAATATGTTTATGCTTAGCTTTTTATATAAAACTGAGTTATCTATAAAATGGTGGTGAAAGTACTTTCCCACTTTCTCAACATTTGGGAGTTATTTGTATATAAACGGATTGTTAATTATTGAAATGACATTGCAAGTGACTCTCTATCCCCCTCCTCGCCAGATCATCTATTCAACTTACAATTTCTGTTGAAGTTCTTAACCTGAGAAGGTTGTTAAGAAACCCATAGCATGGAATCTCCTGATTTGGAAGGGAATATCTTTCCCATCATTCTATTTTTTGCCATGATGGCTGCAGGAAACTGTGCAGAGAAGACGGTTCTGCACAGAAGCACTGTGGATACGAGCGACACTGTTAGGACCCTCTTGCTTTTATGTTTATATTCTCTTAGAGAAATTAGAATGTTTGGGGATTTTTATTTTCATTCTCCTTGAGAAACTGGAATGCCATTAATTTATGCCTTTATAAATATTTCTGGAAGAAGCCAGACCGCTTTGCCAATCATCAGAACTGCCATTTATTTCCCATATTGGGGAGTTCATTTTCCCACCCCTTTAGGCTTCTAAGCTTTGCTGGCTGCATTTGCAATCCAGTCCTTTTAAATCCTTATCTTGAGTGATGACTTATAACAGCTCCTAAATCGGGATGTTGGTTGAGGAAGGAATAATTCAGATTAAAAAAATCTGAGAAATAAGGCATCTTGATTAGCAATCAGCCTTACAAACATTATCTTACTTTAGGATCTCAGGCATGAAACTTCAAGTCTGCTTCAAGTTCATTTATTTCTTCAACCTCCTATCTTCAACCAGTCAGGAGTGAGCTGTTCCCTGCCACACAGACTGAATTTTTATATCCAAGACTTTTGAGATGATCAAAATCTTTCCAATCTAAAAGTGTTCTGAAAGAGAAACGTGAACAATTTTAGATTAATAGCAATAAGGAAAAAATAAATAAACAAAGAAGTGCAACACTCCATGAGTTGCCTCTGGAGCCCGCCTGCTGTGCGGGAGCTGCCTGCCCTCAAATCCCTGTCCTCACGTGATGACTCCCCATCCTTTCTTCAGTCACCTTGGGCAGGTCTCTCTACCAACCTCCTGTTTCCACCCCTCAAACAGGGCCCAGTCCTGTGGAAAACCAATTCACAAAGCACTTTCACTTCTCATGTGAACTGAACCACTCAGAGTGGTTGGTAGGATATGTATCATCACTCTTAACTTTCAGAAAAGGAAGTAGACTGGAGAAAGTCACACAGCAGTTCAGTGGGGAGCTGGTATTTTGGATTCTAATCCCAGAGCTCTTTCTCCTCTACCACACTGTCCTGTTGGCCAGTTTTCTGTTTTCTTTCCTCAGGAACTCTGCTATTTACCAGGATACGAACTTAGTTAATTTGTATTACCTCTCAAAGTCAAGGATTGCTCATTTATAAAATCAAAATAATATAAATACCAAACAGCAAAAAAGAACACAAAACTGGCCTGGTTAATTAAGAAAAAAGTAAATACATTGAAATATGTCAGGAGTTGCATTAAATACAAATAGACTGAATGCTTCAATTTAAAAATTAAGATTATTAGTCTGAATTGAAAAGAAGAAACCATCTATGGCCATACCACCCTGAACACAACTGATCTTGTCTGAAAGGAAAAAAAATAAATATTATGTTCCTTATAAGAGATACACCTTATATAAAATACCTTTATTTAAGGTATATCTGCCAACATCTTGGTGTTGGCAGGATTGGTTCTTTTTTGAGGGCTGGGAGAGAAACGTGTTTCAGACCCCTCTCATGGGTTGTGGATGGCTGTCATCTCTTCATAAGCCTCTGTGTCCAAATATTCCCTTCTTATAAAGGCAGCAGGCTTATTGAATTAAGACCCACTCTAATGACCTCATTTTATTTTGATTACCTCTGTGAAAACCCTACATCCAAGTAAGGTCACTTTCTGAGGTACTGAGAATTAAGATTTAAACACATGAATTTGGGGGGATACATAACACTTACTCATTTTTAAATGGAGACATAATTTTTTATAGTAAATTGCATAGATCTTAAATGTACAGTTCAATGAATTTTGAGAAATGCATCAAAACCATGGAAACTACATCCCCATCAAGATAAAGAACATTTCCATCAGCTCAGAAATTTTCCTTGTGCCTCTTTTCAGTGAATTCTTGCTTCCAGTTTCTAAAAACAGCTTCTTATATTAGGTTGGTATAAAAGTGATTACTTTTAGTGGCAAAAACTGCAGTTATGTTTGCACCAACCTAATAGTAAAATGAATCTAAATCAGAACTTAGAAATGTGAATAATCCATGTCCTTCCACTGTGATTGCTTGGCCTTGGGTACGCAATAACCTCTTGAACACTCAGTTTTCATACATGTAAAACTTGTTGACTCGGTGCTCTTTTATCACAGTTCTAAGAACCTGTGCTTGTGATTATGGCTCTAACAATATCAACTCTTAAACCCGAATGTCAACTAAAGAAGCCCAGAGAAGAAACAACAGAAACTTTTCTCTTCAGAGGCAATATTTCCATGTTAATGGTTCCTTCTGGAGACAAGTCCCCCTGCCTTTGTTGTGAAATCTGTTAGTGATTTTTTTTTGGATGGAAATTTTAGGTCAGGTAGGAAGCTGATGGGTTGGTGGGAAGGAGCAATGGTTTTAACATTTGTCAAATTATCATGTACAGACAACCTGTGTCAAGCACAGTGCCGTGTTAGTTTCTTAAGCCCTTACATGAAACTAGAGAGGTAGTGCTTAACCTTCATTTCACAGATTAGGGCCCTGAGGCTCACAGAGGTGATGCAGCTGACCCAAGTCACACAGCTGGTGCATAGAAGAGACAGACTTATGTAGCAGTTGCTTTACCCTCTAATCAGTGACACGCATTAAACAGCATGGTCAAAATACCCTTCCTCAGCAGGACTCCAGGCTCCCCACATCGCTTCAGGCAGAGCAGCTTGGCTTTTACATGTTTAATGTATCAGACTTCTGAGTACGACTTCTTTGAAGAATGGGTTCCATAGCTGAAATGTTTTTAAGATCACTGGTCTGCACCATCCAAGGTCACCTCTGCACTTCCAAGCCCTCCCTGACAAGCTCCGTCCCGCAGGCTCTATCCTGTGGTTCCTTCCTCCCCTAATCATGAGGCCTAATTAGCCCTCTTCACCCTGAACCCTCTTCACAAGGATTTGCCCCATATAAGATGCCAAAAAATGAGAAAGCCTGAAATGGACTCTCTGTCCTCAACATCTAGATTAATTTCTCCTGGCTTCTCAAAGGGTTGTCAAAAATTAAAGCTAGAAAAAAAACAATTCACCACATTCTAGCATGCAGAGGGTTCTACCATATAAAATTCCAAACTAAGAAAGTGACTAAATAGAGATTAATTCTACCATTTTGAAAAGAATTCTCCAGAGGTTTTATTTATGTAGTCAGGTACCCTTATGCACTTGAAATAGGTTCAAAGTTTTCCATTCACACACAGTTTTTCAGAAACATATCTAGTAGTGCATAAAATGAGTATTTAAACCATTTTCCTCTTTTTTAGACAGTCCTACAGAAAAGGCATCAGATTTTTTTTGCATACAATTCATTCTGGTAAGTGCTTATTGCCATTCTGACGCACTGACTTCCATTTACCCAACAGCAGGATTTACAATGGGATTTTTAACTGATTGTGCTGGGAGAAGATCAGGACTATCCCAGAGAGCTGGCTGCTGAGGGTGGACCTGAGGGTGAAGTGGCGAAAGGAAAAACAAGGAGCTGCTTCTCCTTGGTGTTGTGATGTGAACTGGACATTTGCAGCTCTATGTGGAAATCAGAAAGTACATCTTCAATGAAACACAAAGCAACATGTTAGTTGAAAAATAGAAAACTGAAGAAGAAAAAAAAAGACAAAGGAAGTACATAAAAGGATGTTTTCATTATCTAAATCTAATATTAACTACCATGATTATTGTGTGATTCATATGTGCGTGTCGAAAATGTATGATATTTCTATGTTTTCGAGACAGCCAAGTAAAAAGGTCTCCCCAGAGAACCTTCTACCAGCCTGTGCACTGGGAGGATGGGGCAGGGCCTCGAGAAGTTCACACCATTTGCAGCCGGGAGGAGCCTGGCCTCTCCTGTTCCTGGGCGGTGACCTGGGATTCAATATGTGAGATGGGGATCTGTTAACAGGAACCCCTCTTGCTTTGTGGAGAGTCTTTTTCCTTTTCACCCAATAATTTCCATTTTTCTCACCCTTCTAGGTGTCCACAAGCCTAACCTTTCCTGGTCGTGTGACAAGAACCTGGTTTTTAGCTGAACTGAAGAGAAAGTCCTACAATACTTTAATTAGGAGTATTTA
Organism: Homo sapiens; assembly: GCF_000001405.40. NCBI lineage: Eukaryota > Metazoa > Chordata > Mammalia > Primates > Hominidae > Homo > Homo sapiens. The sequence continues at coordinate 30,506,857 of NC_000012.12, forward strand.
TAAATACTTATAAATAGCCTGTGCGTAGATAGTCATCAAAAACTGAAAGTGAAATACAAAGTCAGTTGAAATCAAAATGAAAGCTCAATGTTACAACTGAAATAAACAATCCTCTTTTTTATGATATTGGCACAGTTAGATTTATTCTGATGTTAAATTTTACACAGGCACAGAAGAAACATATATTCCCAGAGAAATGTATGTGATGTCATCTCTAGCAAGGGTTTCAGATAGAGAGCTGCTATGGTGAAACCCTTGCGTATTCCCTGCCTCACAAAGAACATTTGTGAGTGGAAAACACAAACTGTTTTTCCTTTGCTTTCACACCACAACAATCTACACAGAAGACTTTTGTAACCAAATACTGGATGAGGGGGTCCCCACCAAGAGGCAAGCAATCAATTCTTCAGCAGACACCAGTTGGGCATTCTCCAATCCAATTCCAACACTATCTACCTGGAGATAGTGTCAGACACTGCAGGTTGAGGGCTCAGTCCCACAAGGCTGCCCCTGACTTCCGACGCCTATCTGAAGTCCCAGGTTGTTTTACCCATGCCCTGACTGACCGGCTATAAATCAGAGATCCCACAGCCCCCTCCTTGGATTTGATTACTTTGCTAGAGCAGCTCACAGAAGTCAGGGTCCATGTTTACTGGTCTATTATAAAGGGTATTATAAAAAATATTATAAAGGATACAGATGAAGAGATGCGTGGGGCAAGGTATGGGCAGGGGTGCAGTGGTTCGATGCCCTCCCAGTGCACACCACCCTCCAGGAACCTCCATGCGTTCAGCTATTTGGAAGCTCTTCAAACCCTGTCCTTTTGGGTTTTTATGGAGACTTCATTATGTAAGCATCATTGATTAAACTACTGGCCCTTGGTGATCAACTCAACCTTCAGCCCCTTTCCTCTCCCCTCCCAGGAGGCTGGGGGTTGGAGCTGAAAGTCCGAGCTCTCTAACCCTACCTTGATCTTTCCAGTGCCCAGCCCCCATACTGGAGGCATGTAACATTGCTCCAAAAATGCGATTCTCTCAAGTCCAGCCACTGAAACTGCCTATTATAACCTGGAACCAGTTTGATCTATAGCTGCTGAAATGACCCCCTACAATTCTAAGGCAAATTTTACCCACCACCATCACTCGCCAGTTAATACTTGCCAGCTCCCCAGAACCTTACTAGGCCAATGAACATTCTCAAAGAGTAACACATAACATTTTTCCTTTTTGTAAAACCTCCATCCTCCTCTTTGTTCTTCGGACATACTGAAGACCACCCAGTCTGCATGTATACCCCAAATCACAATTCTTCCTTCCCAAATAAAACATTAAATTTGAATTCCCTATTCATCTCTACATTTTTATTTTGACTTGAACATATGTCAAGAAACAGGATGAAGAGCAAATATCAATTTTTTCAATATTACAACATTAGAGGAAGAACCAAAATAAGATGATCACCACTGACGTATGGCAGAAATTACAAATACAGTCAATGTTCTGAAAAAAGACACTTAAAATTATACACGGCAAACAGAGCCTGACGCAAGTGGTAATACCACCCATAATGGTCATGGTCAACATCAGACAGCAAGCATTACTGTAACAGTACTGATTCCATGTTAAAAGCTTGTTTGCTTGAGTATAATTATTGTTTTCCTTGAGTTTGTAGATTATTCATTAAAAACAGCCTCAGGAAAACAGGACCTTCAACAGAGATAAAAGAAAATACGCTGACCAATGACTCTGGGAATGGCTGACCAGCCTGATAAGAACAGCTTGACAGCACCTGCAGAAGGCCACAGGACATTGACCAGGAAAGTAATAATTTAACTGCCTGCCTGAGAGTATGTACATTTCACAAGAATGCTTTGATCATCATTTGCACCCCACTAATTTGCCTTAAAAACCTCCTGATCTGGAGGCACAACTCAGAGAGGTGATCTTTGAACACAAGTTCACTCTTTCCCCCCAGGTTGTTGGCTTTGCAAATAAAGCTAACTTTCATTTTTGCCAAAAGCTTGTCCCTTAAATTTTGGCTTTGAAGCAATGAGGGGCCTGGACCTGAGTTCAGTTACATTATGAACCCAGAATGGAAGCTCCTGTACATCATTAGCTTCTGCCTTTGAACACAGGCCTTGGGTTTTTACTGGCAAATGACTATATTCAAGCCTAATGCTGAAAACATTTTAAGGCAGCTTCTAATGTCAAAGCAATCTACACCTTTATATGTGAATAGGTAAATAATATGTAAGGTCCATCTATCTCTGAAATTCTGCCTACAAAAGCTTGAATAATATTTATGCAGCTCACCTTACATGGGCTGAGAAGTAACCAACAAATTGATAAAAGCTTACCGCAGTAAAAAACAAACTAAGGGAGGTTGCTCACATAGAGTAAGACAGGAATTTTATGAAAAAATGGAAAAGGGTTAAGAGATAATAAATACAAAAACATAGGTGCCTCAGAACACTGTTTTTAAAAAAACTTTGTATTCATTTTAAAAAATGACTTTTGGTGTACAATTCTGTGAGTTTTAACAAATGTACAGATTTGTGAAACCACCACAACAATCAGGATACAGAACAATTTCATCACTGGTCAAAAGACTTCTTTATGCTGCTCTTTTGTAGTCAAATCCTGCCCAGCCCTTACCCCCTCTAGCAACCACTGATGTATTCTCTGTTTTTACAGTTTTTTGTGGGTTTTTGTTGCTGTTGTTCTTATTTTATTTTTCCCCTCCACCCCAAGGGCACTTACTGTAATATGTCTAAGTTTACCTTAGACAGGTGCGTCTCCTTGAAAGCTACATGGTGTTTGAATTAGGCCCTTCTTGCACTGCTATAAAAAAACACTTGAGACTGGGTAATTTATAAGAAAAAAGCTTTAATTGGCTTATGGTTCTGCAGGCTGTACAGGAAGCATAACACTGGTATCTGCTTCCAGGGAAGCCTCAGGGAGTTTACAATCATGGCAGAAAGTGAAGCAGGAGCTTTCACATCACATGGCGAAAGCCAGAGCAAGAGAGAGAGAGAAGGTGCCACACACTTTTAAACAACCAAATCACGCAAGAATTCACTTACTATCATGAAGACAGCACCAGAGGGATAGTGCTAAACTTCTCGTGAGAAGTCCAACCCCACGATCCAAACACCTCCCACCAGGCCCTACCTCCAACATTGGGGATTACATTGCAACATGAAGTTTGGGCTGGAGCACACATCCAAACTATATCAGTGTAATTGTGCATAGGTGGGTTTTTAATAGGTTTTTATTTTTAAGAGACAAGATCTTGCTCTTTTACCCAGGTTAGAGTGCAGTGGCACAATCATAGCTCACTATAACCTCAAACTCCCTGGGTTCAAGAGATCTTGCCACATCGGCCTCCCAAAGTGTTGGGATTACAGGCCTGAGTAATCCTTGTCAATTTTTAGGTTTTTTTTTAAGTACAATTTAGTGGTTTTTAGTACATTCACAAAATTGTGCAACCATCCCCATGATCTCACACTAGAACATTTTCATCACCCCAAAAAGAAGCTCTGTACCAGCCGGGTGCAGTGGCTCATGCCAGTAATCCCAGCACTTTAGGAGGCTGAGGTGGGCAGATCACCTGAGGTCAGGAGTTTGAGACCAGCCTGGCCAACATGGTGAAACCCTGCCTCTACTAAAAATACAAAAATTGGCCAGGCATGGTGGCAGGTGCCTGTAATCCCAGCTACTCAGGAGGCTGGGGCAGGAGAATCACTTGAACCCGGGAGGCAGAGGTTGCTGTGAGCAGAGATCGCGCCATTGCACTCCAGCCTGGGTGACAGAGGGAGACTCCGTCTCAAAAAAAACAAAAAGAAGAAGAAGAAGCTCTGTACCCATTAACACTCGCTCCCATTCTCCCCTACCTCCACCCCCTGGCTTCCATTAATCTACTTTCTGTCTCTATGATTTGGTCTTTTCTGAACATGTCATATAAATGGAATCATACCATATGTGTCTGGCTTCTTATGCTCAGCACATTTTCTAGGCTTATCCATGTTACAGTGTGTATCAGTACTTCATTCCCTATTACGGCAAAACAATAGTCCATTCCATGGATATACCACATTTTTATCCATTCATCTGTTAATGGACATGGGATTGTTTCCACTTTTTGGCTTCTATGAACAATGCTGCTATCAACATTCATGGAAAAAGGCTTTGTGGGACAATATATTTCCATTTCTCTCAGGTAAATATCCAGGAATAGAATTGCTGGGTCATATGGTAACTTTGAGTTTTTGAGGAGTTAACCAAACTGTTTCCCAAAGTGACTGCACCATTTTACATTTTCCCTATTATTGAATGAGGGTTCCAATTTCTCACATCCTCTCCAATATTTGTTTATTGTCCATCTTTTTTTTATTATAGCTTGGGCTACCGTCCTAATGCCTATGAGGTAGTCGATCATTGTAGTTTCTCTTGGCACTTCTCTAGTGAGTAATGACATTGAGCATCTTTTCATGTGATTATTGGCAAGCCATATTTCTTTTTTGAGTGAAGTATCTGTTCACATCCTTTGCTCCTTTTAAAGTGGCTTATTTGTCTTTCGATCACTGCAGTATACGAGTTCTTTATTCTGGATGTAAGTCCCTTATCAGATATATGATTTACAAATATTTTCGCCCACAACAAATATTCTGTGGGCTGCCTTTTTACTTTCTTGATGGTGTCCTTTGAGGCACAACAGTTTAAATTTTGGTGAAGTCCAGTTTTTCAAATTTTTCTTTTATAAATTGTAGTTTGGATGTCGCATTTAAAGAATTATTGGCCTAACACCAGATAGGGAAGATTTTTCTGTATGTTTTCTTCTAAACCTTTTATAGTTTTAAATTTTATGTTTAGGCCAGGCGCGATGGCTCATGCCTGTAAGCCCATCACTTTGGGAGGCCGAGGTGGGCGGATCACGAGGTCAGGAGATCGAGGCATCCTGGTTAACACGGTGAAACGCCGTCTCTACTAAAAATACAAAAAAAATAGGTGGGCATGGTAGCAGGCGCCTGTAGTCCCAGCTACTTCGGAGGCTGAGGCAGGAGAATGGCGTGAACCTGGGAGGTGGAGCTTGCAGTGAGCCGAGATCGCGCCACTGCACTCCAGCCTGGGCGAGAGTGAGACTCCGTCTCAAAAAAAAAAAAAAATTATGTTTAGATCGATGGTCCATTTTTAGTTAACTTTTGTCTAAGGAATGAGGTTTAAGTTGAATTTTTTAATTTTCCACATATTGATGTCCAATTGCTTCAACATAATTTGTTGAAAAGATTATCCTTACCCAATTGAATTGCCGTTGCATCTTTGTCCAAAATCAATTGTCTGTATTTGTGTCAGCCAATTTCTGGACTCTATTATGTTCATTCATCTAAATGTTGCATTTATGACAAGACTACACTGTCTTGATTACTGTAACCTTATGTTAAATGTCAAAGTTAGGTAGTTAAGTCTTCCAAAATGTTTTGGCTATTCTGTATACTTCTATATTTTAAAGTCAATTTGTCAATTTCTACAAAAGCCCTCCTGAAATTTATGATTGGGATTTCACTTAGTTTATACATTAATTTGGGCATAATGACATCTTAACAACTTGAGTTTTTTAACTCAAGAACATGGTTTATCTCTCCATTTTTTTGGCTCTTCTTTAATTCCTTGTGGGAACGTTTTATAGTTTCAACATAGAGGTGTTATAAATACTTTGTTAAAATGTCTCCTAAATTATCTTCATGCTTTTGTGGTGCTACTGTAAATTGTATCTTTTACAGTTTTTTTTAATTGTCTATGGCTAGTATATAGGAAAACAATTAATCTTTGCATATTGGCCTTTTATCTAGCAACTTTGCTAAATTGACTTACTAGTTATAGTAGATTTTATTATTTTTTTGGTGAGCACTTGGAATTTTCTACATATGTAATCATATCGTCTATAAATAAAGATCATTTTACTTCTTATTCAATCTGTATACATATATATATATAGTGTGTGTGTGTGTGTGTGTGTGTGTGTGTGTGTGTGTGTGACAGAGTCTTGCTCTGTTGTCCAGACTGGAGTGCAGTGGCGCGATTCTCAGCTCACTACAACCTCCGCCTCCTGGGTTCAAGCGATTCTCCTGCCTCAGGCTTCCGAGTAGCTGGGATTACAGGCACCTGCCACCACGCCCAGCTAATTTTTGTATTTTTAGTAGAGACGGAGTTTCACCTTGTTGGCCAGCCTGCGAACTCCTGACCTCAGGTGATCCACCCACCTAGGCCTACCAAAGTGCTGGGATTATAGGCGTAAGCCACTGTGCCTGGCTCTTTGCCTTATTGTACAGACTAGGACCTCTAGTACAATGATGAATTAAAGTAACAAGAATAGACATCCTCGTCTTGTTCCCAATATTAGTCTTTCCCCATTGTCTTAGTCTGTTTGTGCTATTATAACAAAATGCCATCAACTGGGTGGCTTATAAACAACAGAAATGTGTTTCTCACAGTTCTGAAGGTTGAGAAGTGCAAGATCATGACAGATCTGGTTTCTGGTGAAGGCGTGCATGCTTTGTGGCTCGTAGATGGCACTTTGAGTTTGCCGTGTCCTCACTTGGTGGAAGCAGCAAATGCACTCCCTTGGACCTCTTTTGTAAGGGCACTAATCCTATTCATGAGAGCTCTGCTTTCGTGATCTAATCACCTCCTAAAGGACCTGTCTCCTAATACCATCATCTTATGGGCTAGGATTTCAACATACGAATGAACACAAACATTCAGACCATAGCAAGTATTAATTGGTGTGTGTGTGTGTGTGTGTGTGTGTGTGTGTGTGTATCTTAGAAATGGGGTCGTGATCTGTTGCTCAGGCTGGAGTGCAGTGGCACAATCATGGCTCACTGCAGCCTTGAACTCCTGAGTTCAAGTGATCTTCCCATCTCAGCATCCAAGTAGCTGGAACTACAAGTGTACACTATCACGCCCAGATAATATTTTAATTTTTTGTAGAGATGAGGTCTCATTATGTTGCTCAGATTGGTCCTGACCTTCTGGCTTCAAGTAATCCTCCTACCTCAGCCTCCCAAACTGCTAGGATTATAGGCATGAGCCACCACGCCTGACCAAGTATAATTTTAGTTGTATGTTTTCTGTTGATGTTTAGAGCATTATTTTTTATGCTTTCCATCAAATCAGGTAATGGTTTGGCAAAAATATGTGCATAAATATTGAAATGATTTAGACTTGGGACTAAATTCCCATCTTGCCTAAGTTGAGTTGCCCTTAACAGGGAACTGGCTCCAAATATGCAGAGGAATCCCCATAATGTGGGAAGCAGCTGCCTGCTGGGGTTCAGAAGCAATTGCCTCAAAGAGCTGATGAATACAAGGTATTTCAAAGGACCAAATGCAAAGAGGGTTGAAACTAAAATTACTAGTACCTACTCTCTGCCAGACCCTGTGTGAGGCCTCTTATGTGAGTAATCTCCATTTCTTTTCTTCCTCTATACAGAGCCAGAACTTTTGAATAATTTTACTCTTCCGTCTTCAGCAGGGGAGAGTAAAATGCACCAAGGCAACCAACGCTTTTCTAATCACACCATGTGGGAGAGTCTCCCAGGCTGCCTTATGGGGTTGCTGCAACGACCCAAATCTGATACTGTAGACTAATTAGCCAAACGAGGGGGAACAACTGATTTCCTCTCTGATTTGTGAATTGAAGAAAGTTTCTTTTATCACCACCATGTAATATGAATTTATATCCTCCAGAAAGTTTTTATATATGGCTTGTGCATAAAGTCGATTCAGAAGACCACCTCCCAACCCCCAAAACTAGATGTTGTATCACCACTATATTTCCCAGGGATGCACTTGGAAAACTTGGCACTTTATATCATTTTTTACCAAATTCTAGAGGGAAGAAAAAAGGCCCGGGGCGGGGGGGTTCTTTCTGACTATCTAATCATTTTCAGATGCGGAACTGAGGCTCAGGGAGTTTAAGCAGCCTGCCCAGGCTTGCACAGCCGTTGGTGACAAACCCTGGTGTGGAATTCAGTGTTTTAAAAACTCATACGACTGTCATTTTCACCAGGACCAGCATAAGTACTAAATCCACTTACATCATAATTAACTAGCCTATTGAGGTTTTTCATTGACCAAGCTCAAATTTTTCAGTTCCAAATATGTGAACACCTGATCTAGTTACTTATAATTGTTGTTGAATTGCATTTTTAGGCATTTTCGTCTTCCCTTAAATGGATAAAAGATGAAGAAAGTACCGTGACAAATTTTGTGGAGAACATTTAAAGATATTTCTATGGAATAGTAGATGTTTTTTCCAAGTTATTGTGACATCTTGAACATATAAAGGAGTGCACAAAATGTAATTCAATTTTTTTCTCTATGTGTGTTTATTCAGACTGGATGATACAGCCATAGAAAAATACGTGCTCCTAAAAGATTCTCTAATTCAGACTTTTTACAATTTAACTCTCAAAAGTCAATTTTTTATAAGAGATTGCAATGTCTAGTCTTTATGCATAATTTAGTCTGGCAGAAAAAAGGAGGAAAACTTACCCTTTTTCATTTGAGAATTGACATTGTTTGGGGATCAAAAAGTAAAGAAAACATTTTAAAAGATTCCCACAAAGGAATAGAAATTAAGAAGCCCACCCATAGCGTAGACTCATATTGTGGTTAATAGGGAGTTTACTGCCACCAAGTGGTTTGCTAAATCTGTTTAATTCTGTAACTGGTGTTTCTCAAATCCCTTTTCAAAGTGTCTTGTTAGATACAGCAAGTCAGCCAGCCAGTGGTACCACTTCCCAAACTTTGTTACACAATAAGATAATGTAGGAACCTCTTTAAAATGATCGATGCCTGGCTCTCATGCCCAGACACTCTTGTTAATTGGTATGGAGTGTGACTGGGCCATTTAGATATTGATTTTTCTTTTTAGAGATGGGAGGCTCACTAGGTTGCCCAGGCTGGACTCAAACTTCTGGGCTCCAGCCATCCTCCTGCCTCAGCCTCCCAGTTAGTTACATTTTTAAAAGCTCTCCAGGTGATTCTAATCTGTAACAAAGTTTGAGAACCTCTATCATCGAGAATTATAGATTACCACCCGACAGTTATTGAACGGACAAGAAAATACAGGATGGCAAAACGTGATGTTGGTGCTGATCCGGGAGCCACCGTTACCCTAAGGTGCTTATCGCATTTAACCCAGAGCCCCTAAGAGTTCTATTAATGTCAACTGAACACCTTTACCAGAAGTTTTCAGACTATTTAGCGTGTTTGGGTACTTGAGGAGTCAGTATGTGCCGTGATTAAGAGCACGGACTCGGAGCCAGATACATGAAGGACCCAACCACTGCCCTACCCTAAGCAAAGTTCCTAGCTAACTGGGTGACTGTGGGCAAATTCTGTGGCATTCCTACACCGCGTTTTATGTTTTTTTATTGTTAAAAAGGAAAGCTAAGCTAATTCCTGTGTCTTAGTCTGCTAGGGCTGCCATAACAAAATACCACTGACTGGGTAGGTGATGGAAACCACAGAAATGGATCTTCTCACAGTTCCAGAGGCTGGAAGTCTAAGATCAAGGTGTCAGCAGGTCTGGTTTCTTCTGAGGCCTTTTTCCTTGGCTCATAGGTGGCTGCTTTCTCACTGCGTCCTCTCATGGTCTTTCCCGTGTGTGTGCATGTCCCTGGTATCTATGTGCCTCTAAATTTCCTCTCATTATAAGGACATCAGTCAGATTGGATTAGGGCCTATCCTAATGGCCTCATTTTAACTTAATTACTTTCTTAAAGCCCTATTGTCAAATACAGTCACATTCTGAGTTATTAGGGAGTTAGGGCTTCAACATATGAATTTGGGGGTGGGGGACAAAATTCAGCCCATAATAGCCTGTTTCTAATATTTAAGGAAAATTAAAAGCAACAATGCAAATAAATCACTTAGCAAAGTACCTGGCAGAGAATTAGTACGCAGTAAATGAGGAGACTTTCTAGGATGATGGACATGTCCTATATCTTCACTGTAGTGGTACTTACGCACATCAAAACTCATTGAATTATGCACTTAAAATGTGTATTTGATAGTGTGTATATTATAACTCACGCTGATTTTAAAATATTAAATTATTACTGATCAATTTCTCCATGTCAAAGACTTCCTACAAAAACATTTTAAACTTTCAAGGTATAAGAAACCAGTCAGCCTGAATCAGTGACTAATTACCCCCAAAAGATCCCCAAGAAAAAGTAGGATTATCCTAGAATGCACAGCTAAGAAGTCTTACGCCTGAAGTCTAGGCATCTTTTAATAGTCCCATGCAAAACAAAATTACCCAACAAGATGAATTTCCTGGAAATATGTCACCCCCTCAAGGGATTTCAAGAGGTGTAGTTTTTCATTAGAAGCAGAACTCCTAGCATGCGACTTTGTTATTAATGGAGGACCCCAAGTATTTAAATTCACTGATTGTCTTAAGTGCCAGTTATTCTAGAGACTTAGTACAAAAAGTCTTACAAACTTCCATTTGAAATGAAAATTTAAAATATTGAAAAAAAATTATATTCCTCAGCAGACTCTGAATAGCATCCAAGTCAAATTATGGTAGAGATCACATGTCCTGAGGGATTCAAATTTCAACCTTGGCTTCCTAAGTCTGTATTTGTCCTTGCGATAATTCCCAAGGTGATGTTGATAAAGACTTAGGAAACTTCAGAAGTGGAGCTCTGCTAACTGTAACACCAGGAGGAAAATTACCAGGAGCATTTTAGATCTTTCTTTTTAAAAATTCCCATTAAAGGATTTCTTCCAGACATAATTTTGTGTGAAAACACAAATATATATGCACACATAAATGCACACATCTATACATAATAGCCCTCTACAATGCTTTGCATACCACCTAAAGGTCTTTCTTATCAAATGAATTAGATGTTGTTTGAGTAAATGAATGAATCAACAAGAAAGCTGCATTAAGGGAAGTGCAGGGACCTACTGGACAGCAGGTTGATGATAGGTAATAATTATGTATTATATACTTGAAAAAAAAAGAGAAGTACAAAGTTGGTGTGATGTCTCAGGCCTGTAATCCCAGCATTTTGGGAGGCCAAGGCAGGAGGATTGCTTGAGCCCAGGAGTGCGAGACCAGCTTAGGCAACACAGCAAGGCCTTGTCTCCACAAAAAAGTAGAAAAATTAGCTGGGTGTGGTGGCGTGTTCCTGCATTCCCAGCTACTCAGGAGGCTGAGGTGGGAGGATCACTTAAGCCCAGGAGATCAAGGCTGCAATGAACTATGATGGTGCCACTGCACTCCAGCCTAGATGACACAGCGAGATCCTGTCTCAAAAAAGAAAGAAGTACAGCTGTAATTTTATTATAAACATGCAACTTTAAGACCAGGAATTGGCCAGGTGCAGTGGCTCACGCCTGTAATCCCAGCACTTTGGGAGGCAGAGGCGGGCAGATCACGAGGTCAGGAGATGGAGACCATCCTGGCGAACACGGTGAAACCCCCTCTCTACTAAAAATACAAAAAATTAGCCAGGCATGGTGGCGGGTGCCTATAGTCCCAGCTGCTCGGGAGGCTGAGGCAGGAGAATGGCGTGAACCCGCGAGGTGGAGCTTGCAGTGAGCCGAGATCGCACCACTGCACTCCAGCCTGGGCAACAGAGTGAGAGACTCCGTCTCAAGAAAACAAAAACCAAAAAAAACAGTAATTGGCCTAATCACAATAAGCAAGGAGTCACGTGTTTGGCTACTTCCCTAGGGAAATCACTAAGACCTGCACTTCACACAGTGCCTGGCACAGAACAAACAATGATAAATATTTGCTAAACTGAGTCATTAACAAGTAAGGTCTGTGTGGGAAATACAATTTTGTTCAAGGTCTGTGAGAGCAAACTGCCTTCTATGTGAAATCCCTTGTAACAAGCTGCTTCAGGCACTTCAGAACAAAAACTAAGGCAAATTAAATTTCACTGAGTTTAATTGAGCAAGGAACAATTCACGAATTAGACAACCCCCAAACCAGAGTAGGCACAGAGAGAGTCCAGCGCAGCCACGTGGTGGAAGATTTACAGGCAGAAAAAGGAAAGTGGCCTACAGAAAACGGAAGTGAGGTACAGAAGCGATCCGGTCGTTTACCGCTCCGCATTTGCCTTATGCAACCTCGTGGCAGGCCAGTTTTCCCTGACAAACACACAAACAGGCCTGCATGACAGTCACACAGACAGGCCTGCATAGCACTCCAGTTACACAGACAAATTTTCACAGAGCTGCCTTAACATTGAGCAAATAGTTAAACCCGGCAAAATCGGCGCCCAGACAGCAAAGCTAGAAATGAAACATATGGTCAGTAGGAGCCTTGCGTGGGCTTCTCCCTAACCTGGAGCAAACCAAAATAATAGAGACAGTCTTTCATTCCTAGTGCCAGGACCCGTCTCGGGTCAACGAAATCTGAGACAGTCAAGGTAACAGAGGCAGCTGTTCGAATAGATTCATTGGAGAGTCTAAGGCAGCTCTCCGGACCAAGCTGTAAAGGAGATAAGATAGAAATAATCACTCTGGTACCACAGCAGACAGGCCTTGAAGGTACTGAGGCCCTTTTAATCAGACTTAGTTTGCCTCTGACCTTTTAGTTGAAACAAAATTAGTTACCAATAGACTTAGGCGAATGCTACACTGCACACAGGCGCATAACCCCAACCTATATAAGCACTAAGAAAATTGTAACACTTTCGAGTTGGTCTGCTGGAATTATCTCTGGCCTTCTCCCTGCATCCGATTATAGCCATAAATTCCCTTCTTTCCTAGTTTGTCTGCTTCTCCTTATTGGGCCTTGAGAAAACGCAGCCGGACCTGGCTTTGTTCCGGGAACAACCTCAGTTTGAACAGTTGGCCATATTTAATTGGCACAAGAGTAGGCTACTATCTGTTTACACAACCAGTAAGGTTACAGTTCACTAGGTACTGAGAAACCTTTAGGTTGGGCTTGAAATATGTAAGGAGGCAGTTTTAGGCTAAATTTAACAAAAGTTACAATTAGAAAAGAAGAATGTGTTCTGATGTCCCACTACACACTAGGGTGACCATTGTCAACAATAGGTATTGCATATCTCAAGATAGCTACAAGAGAGGATTTGAATGTTCCCACCACAAAGAAATGATAAATTTTTGAGGTGATGGATATGGCAGTTACCCTGATTTGATCATTACACAAAGTTGAAATTGAAACATCACACTGTACTCCATAAATATGTACAATGATTATATGTCAATTAAAAATGAAAATAATTTTTTTTGCAACTTACTTCACTTTTTTATTATACTTTAAGTTTTAGGGTACATGTGCACAACGTGCAGGTTAGTTACGTATGTATACATGTGCCACGTTGCTGTGCTGCACCCATTAACTCGTCATTTAACATTAGGTATATCTCCTAATGCTATCGCTCCCCACTACCCCCACCCCACAACAGGCCCCGGTGTGTGATGTTCCCCTTCCTGTGTCCATGTGTTCTCATTGTTCAGTTCCCACCTATGAGTGAGAACATGCGGTGTTTGGTTTTTTGTCCTTGCAATAGTTTGCTGAGAATGATGATTTCCAGTTTCATCCATGTCCCTACAAAGGACATGAACTCATCATTTTTTATGGCTGCATAGTATTCCATGATGTATATGTGCCACATTTTCTTAATCCAGTCTATCGTTGTTGGACATTTGGGTTGGTTCCAAGTCTTTGCTATTATGAATAGTGCCACAATAAACATATGTGTGCATGTGTCTTTATAGCAGCATGATTTATAGTCCTTTGGGTATATACCCAGTAATGGGATGTCTGGGTCAAATGGTATTTCTAGTTCTAGATCCCTGAGGAATCACCACACTGACTTCCACAATGGTTGAACTAGTTTACACTCCCACCAACAGCGTAAAAGTATTCCTATTTCTCCACATCCTCTCCAGCACCTGTTGTTTCCTGACTTTGTAATGATCGCCATTCTAACTGGTGTGAGATGGTATCTCATTGTGGTTTTGATTGGCATTTCTCTGATGGCCAGTGATGATGAGCATTTTTTCATGTGTCTGTTGGCTGCATAAATGTCTTCTTTTGAGAAGTGTCTGTTCATATCCTTCACCCACTTTTTGATGGGGTTGTTTGTTTTTTTCTGGTAAATTTGTTTGAGTTCATTGTAGATTCTGGATATTAGCCCTTTGTCAGATGAGTAGATTGCAGAAATGTTCTCCCATTCTGTAGGTTGCCTGTTCACTCTGATGGTCGTTTCTTTTGCTGTGCAGAAGCTCTTTAGTTGAATTAGATCCCATTTGTCAATTTTGGCTTTTGTTGCCATTGCTTTTGGTGTTTTAGACATGAAGTCCTTGCCCATGCCTATCTCCTGAATGGTATTGCCTAGGTTTTCTTCTAGGGTTTTAATGGTTTTAGGTCTAACATTTAAGTCTTTAATCCATCTTGAATTAATTTTTGTATAAGGTGTAAGGAAGGGATCCAGTTTCAGCTTTCTACATATGGCTAGCCAGTTTTCCCAGCACCATTTATTAAATAGGGAATCCTTTCCCCATTGCTTGTTTTTGTCAGGTTTGTCAAAGATCAGATAGTTGTAGATATGCAGCATTATTTCTGAAGGCTCTGTTCTGTTCCATTGGTCTATATCTCTGTTTTGGTACCAGTACCATGCTGTTTTGGTTACTGTAGCCTTGTAGTATAGTTTGAAGTCAGGTAGTGTGATGCCTCCAGCTTTGTTCTTTTGGCTTAGGATTGACTTGGCAATGCAGGCTCTTTTTTGGTTCCATATGAACTTTAAAGTAGTTTTTTCCAATTATGTGAAGAAAGTCATTGGTAGCTTGATGGGGATGGCATTAAATCTATAAATTACCTTGGGCAGTGTGGCCATTTTCACGATATTGATTCTTCCTATCCATGAGCTTGGAATGCTCTTCCATTTGTTTGTATCCTCTTTTATTTCACTGAGCAGTGGTTTGTAGTTATCCTTGAAGAGGTCCTTCACATCCCTTGTAAGTTGGATTCCTGGGTATTTTATTCTCTTTGAAGCAATAGTGAATGGGAGTTCACTCATGATTTGGCTCTCTGTTTGTCTGTTATTGGTGTATAAGAATGCTTGTGATTTTTGTACATTGATTTTGTATCCTGAGACTTTGCTGAAGTTGCCTATCAGCTTAAGGAGATTTTGGGCTGAGACAATGGGTTTTCTAGATATACAATCATGTCATCTGCAAACAGGGACAATTTGACTTCCTCTTTTCCTAATTGAATCCCCTTTATTTCTTTCTCCTGCCTGATTGCCCTGGCCAGAACTTCCAACACTATGTTGAATAGGAGTGGTGAGAGAGGGCATCCCTGTCTTGTGCCTGTTTTCAAAGGGAATGCTTCCAGTTTTTGCCCATTCAGTATGATATTGGCTGTGGGTTTGTCATAGATAGCTCTTATTATTTTGAGATACGTTCCATCAATACCTAATTTATTGAGAATTTTTAGCATGAAGGGCTGTTGAATTTTGTCAAAGGCCTTTTCTGCATCTATTGAGATAATCATATGGTTTTTGTCATTGGTTCTGTTTATATGCTGGATTATGTTTATTGATTTGCATATGTTGAACCAGCCTTGCATCCCAGGGATGAAGCCCACTTGATCATGGTGGATAAGCTTCTTGATGTGCTGCTGGATTCGGTTTGCCAGTATTTTATTGAGGATTTTTGCATTGATATTCATCAGGGATATTGGTCTAAAATTCTCTTTTTCTGTTGTGTCTCTGCCAGGCTTTGGTATCAGGATGATGCTGGCCTCATAAAATGAGTTAGGGAGGATTCCCTCTGTTTCTGTTGATTGGAATAGTTTCAGAAGGAATGGTACCAGTTCCTCCTTGTACCTCGGGTAGAATTTGGCTGTGAATCCATTTGGTCCTGGACTTTTTTTGGTTGGTAAGCTATTAATTATTGCCTCAATTTCAGAGCCTGTTATTGGTGTATTCAGAGATTCAACTTCTTCCTGGTTTAATCTTGGATGGGTGTATGTGTCAAGGAATTTATCCATTTCTTCTAGATTTTCTAGTTTATTTGCATAGAGGTGTTTATAGTATTCTCTGATGGTAGTTTGTATTTCTGTGGGATCGGTGGTGATATCCCCTTTATCATTTTTTATTGCATCTATTTGATTCTTTTCTCTTTTCTTCATTAGTCTTGCTAGCGGTCTATCAATTTTGTTGATCTTTTCAAAAAACTAGCTCCTGGATTCATTGATTTTTTGAAGGGTTTTTTGTGTCTCTAGCTCCTTCAGTTCTGCTCTGATCTGAGTTATTTCTTGCCTTCTGCTAGCTTTCGAATGTGTTTGCTCTTGCTTCTCTAGTTCTTTTCATTGCTATGTTATGGTGTCAATTTTAGATCTTTCCTGCTTTCTCTTGTGGGCATTTAGTGCTATAAATTTCCCTCTACACACTGCTTTGAATGTGTCCCAGAGATTCTGGTATGTTGTGTCTTTGTTCTCATTGGTTTCAAAAAACATCTTTATTTCTGCCTTCATTTCGTTATGTACCCAGTAGTCATTCAGGAGCAGGTTGTTCAGTTTCCATGTAGTTGAGCGGTTTTGAGTGAGTTTCTTAATCCTGAGTTCTAGTTTGATTGCACTGTGGTCTGAGAGACAGTTTGTTATAATTTCTGTTCTTTTACATTGCTGAGGAGTGCTTTACTTCCAACTATGTGGTCAATTTTGGAATAAGTGCGGTGTGGTGCTGAGAAGAATGTATATTCTGTTGATTTGGGGTGGAGAGTTCTGTAGATGTCTATTAGGTCCACTTAGTGCAGAGCTGAGTTCAATTCCTGGATATCCTTGTTAACTTTCTGTCTTGTTGATCTGTCTAATGTTGACAGTGGAGTGTTAAAGTCTCCCATTATTATTGTGTGGGAGTCTAAGTCTCTTTGTAGGTCACTAAGGACTTGCTTTATGAATCTGGGTGCTCCTGTATTGGGTGCATATATATTTAGGATAGTTAGTTCTTCTTGTTGAATTGATCCCTTTACCATTATGTAATGGCCTTCTTTGTCTCTTTTGATCTTTGTTGGTTTAAAGTCGGTTTTATCAGAGACTAGGATTGCAACCCCTGCCTTTTTTTGTTTTCCATTTTCTTGGTAGATCTCCCTCCATCCCTTTATTTTGAGCCTACGTGTGTCTCTGCACGTGAGATAGTTTTCCTGAATATGAAAATAATTTTTTCAAAAATGTAAGAGCATACCTTTTACAGAGTGATGCTCAGTAGATGATTGCTGACTGTAAATAGCAAGCCCAGGTTAGGTGCTGTCAATAGTTAAGAGGGCTCCACCCCTCACCGCACTACATTCCAAGGACCGTGCCCAGCACTGAGCAGGGCTTCAAGCAGCATTTGTGAAGTTCAGTTAGTAGCACAGTGGATTGATACCTGAACATTTTGGCTGTAAAGACATTAATGCCTGGATAGTGACCTGATGGCTCCCTGTGGCACCAATGAAAGAATCTTCACCAAGAAAGTGGTACTTTGAGGGCCTGGAGTCTTTCTGAGCCAGCAGTCAAAGACAAAACTAGCTTTTTCAGGTACAAATACAGCATTAGAATAGCTGATCTTTCCTTTCTGCTGAAGTTGCACATGCCTCACAGTTTCATAAATTGTACATGAAATTCCTCCATCTTTCATACATGGCGAGGCCTGTCACTGGCAGGTGCCTCAACCACCCTTGGAGCACAGCCTGCAGCAGTGTGACTAGTACCTTAAAGTCCCATTCTTCCTCCAGAGCATTGTGAAACTAGTTCCTGAGGCTCCCAGGCCACTGGTATTGCCCTGGAAGATGCTCTGCTGAAGATCAAGTGAAAGTCTTGTGAACAACTTGTAAAATACTAAACAAATTCCCAAGCAGCATGGCAGGAATGCAGTAGAAAAAAAAATACAGAATTACCTGCAGCCCCACTTAAATCTTAACATCTCTTTCTACCGAGGATTCAGAGGCAGAGAATCTGTCAGCACCTTGAGAAAGTCTGGTTTAATCAACTTTCAGTGAAAATCCATAGTAAATCTGTGCTAAAACAAGAGAGATTTTTAAATATTCTCAAAGTGCTTAAACAAAATATTAATAAAGGTAAACCCCTTTCCCCATAGGCTGTGAGTCCCAAGTGAAAAACATCTTACTGAAATATTTTATTAAATTTGATCCAGGGTTCGCAAGTGCATTTTCCGGTTTGGCTTCATTGTTGGCTAAGCAGGCATTTGTTTCCTTCAATTTCACACAAATTTGTTAATTTAACTGTTAATCTTATAAATTAATATTGCATAGATTTTTACGCTATGGGCTTTAATTCATAGTTCATGTTGGACCTTGTGTTAGTCTGCTTGGGATCCCATAACAAAATACCACAAACTGCGTGGCTTAAACAACATTTATTTTCTCAGTGTTCTGGAGGCCAGACATCCAAGGTCAAGGTGCCGGCAGGGTTGGTTGCTGGTGCAGCCTCTCTTCCTGCCTTGCAGAAAGCTACAGTTCTCTCTGTGTCCTCACATGACCTCTTCTCTGTGCCGGAGAGAGAGAAAGATCTCTGATGTCTCTTCCTCTTCTTATTAGGTTGCAGTCCCATTGGTTTAGGGCCCCACTCTAATGATCTCATCTAACCTCAATTACTCCCTCAAAGGCCCTATCTTTAAATACAGTTGCACTGGGGATCAGGGAATCAACATGTTAATTTTAGGGGGACTCAAAACAGACATCTAATATCTATGTCAATTTTCTTCTTGACAAAAATTACAAGCCTAGATTTCTCACATAAAATTCACTATTCCAGTGGTGTATGTAGATGGGTTTTAGGCCAGGACAATCTATCAGCCATTCATATATTGTCATTTACCTTGGGGCAAAATCTATCTGGAAAAAACATAAGGTTGTTTTCAGGTGTTATTGCCTTTTACTCATCAGTCTTTGCTGGGGAATTGGTTATGGATGAGGACGCGTGACCTCAAAATAAGATTAATTATTGACAAGCAGAAAGAACATATACCTTAACACATCTCAGAAGATCACAGAGGATGTGCTCCTGAAAGACAACATTTCTAGTGGCAAGAAATAGAGATTATCTTGACCTCCCCTCCCTCTTTTTAACTTGTTTCTACATGATTTAATACTACTTTTCAATGCTCTAGTTCCACGCTCTCCTGCTATTGAGATTTTTTTAAAGTTAGTTGTCCTCTCTAAATTGATACATAGTTTTATAGATACATAGATATACTCTAAACGAACAATAGATTCTTTATGATGCTTATGCCACATAGAATGTCTTTAGAATCAAATTTACCACCTTTGCAAATGCCCTACAGCTTAAATCTAATGATTTCTATCTAATGAATCAATTGGCCTATATCTAATGATATAGGCAGGTCAGTTACATAAGGGTACAATTTGCATTTAATTAATCATGGTGAATTCATCGGAAAGTAAATAGATATTTTAGTGAGTTTTTCCGTGGCTACGATAAGTTAATTTAATGCATGTTTAAATAAATACTTAAATTAAAATAACGTTGATTACGCTCTATGGTATATACTATCAGACTTCACCCACCTACTTGTCTTGTGTGTTGAAGCAGACACAGGTTTTCTGAAGAAAATGTGGCTCTATCCACCTATATTCCTTAGCCCACTCAGCCCTGAGTCCTTTATTTTCATGAAAGGATCCTCCCATTGCCTTGTCTGGCCGGTTGTCACGCACATTAAACTGTGAACTTCCAACCAAGCATAGACCCCCTATCCATTCTCACCAGAGAATTTAACCCTAGAACTCTCTGCTGCCCCATTCTCACATGCTACTCTTTTAAGAGATAAAGAATATGAAGAATAGGTTGTCCACCATTCCTACCTGTGTTCTAAATTTTACTCTTTTTTTTCAAGACAGATCATTAGAGAACTGGACACATGGACCTCTCTGCTTTGGCTATAATAGAACAGCTTTTATTGGGCTCTGCCTTTATTGATTTTTTAGGTTTTCAGACTTATCTCCTAGCTAAGCCTGAGTTTCTTTAAGAAATGTGTGGCCAGGCGCAGTGGCTCAGGCCTGTAATCCCAGCACTTTGGGAGGCTGAGGCGGGCAGATCATCAGGTCAGGAGATCGAGACTATCCTGGCTAACATGGTGAAACCCCGTCTCTACTGAAAATACAAAAAATTAGCCGGGTATGGTGGCATATGCCTGTAGTCCCAGCTACTCGGGAGGCTGAGGCAGGAGAATGGCGTGAACCCAGGAGGCAGAGCTTGCAGTGAGCTGAGATTGCACCACTGCACTCCAGCCCGGGCGACAGAGTGAGACCCCGTCTCAAAAAAAAAAAAAAAAAAAGAAAGAAAAGTGTTGTGTCCTCTCTGTATACTCAGTCCTCTTACCAGGACTTAGCACAGTACATTCTACAAACGAGGCGCTCAATGCAATATTCCTTGGCTTAATTTACTTTGAGTTTCAGTTGCCCCGTGGTGTTATATAAAGAGCATTTGACCACGAACTACGGGACCTGAGTTCTAGACCTCACCCTCCAGTGACCAGCAGCACTAGCTTAGGCAAGGACTTGCTTGTCCTCTCCTTGGCCTGTTTCCAATTTTGAAAAATAATACTAAATGATCGTTAATGTTTCTTTTTGTTTACTATTTTTTAGTATCCCCAACATCAACTAACCACCAACCACTACTTTAAATCAATAATTTAAAGTTCCTAAGTGAGGCACACAAAGACAAATAAAATGTTTGTACTCCTCTGTGTGGACTAAACAAATTGATCTCATGGAAGTGTTGAATAGAATGGTGATTACCTGAGGCTGGGAAAAGGGATGAGGAGAAGGTGGTTAATGATACAAACATACAGCTAGGTAGAAGGAAAAAGTTCTAGTGTTCGCTAACATAATAGGGCGACTATAGTTACAAATAATTTATCGCGTATTTGAAAATAGCTAGAAGAGAACATTTGGGATGTTCCCAACACAAAGAAATGATAAATGTTTGGGGTGATAGATATCCCAATTACCCAGTTTTGATCCTTATACACTGTATGTTTGGATCAAAATATTATATGCACCTCATGTATAACTACTATGTATCCATAAATTCAAATTTCTTTTGAAATTAGTATTTGTATTAGAAATTAGCATTAATACACGAATTTTTTTTGAAAAAGCAGTTTATCTTTTTAATAATACTCTGAAGTTTTAACTTTTATTTGAAAGAGGACAAAGCTGAATTTTAGCCTTGAAATGATCAACAATTCAAAATTAATGAGCTTCAAGTTTATGAGAAGTCACTATTTAAAAAAAGGATTGAGATGTTTAACGACCTTGAAATTGAGTTTAGTCCATCTCTGCTGTGTTTTTACATTCATTCTTACTCTTGACATTTTTCAGTTGGAGGTGGAAGTTAAAAATGGTCCAAAAAATAGATTTTTTACCTCATTTATCTTTAAGAAATGGCAGGTGCCATATTTTGAATCAATAATAAGATAGGTTTCAGCTAAATAAATCACAAGGGTAAACTGACAAGCAGTTTTGCATTTCACATAGCTGACATTATGAACAGTTTCTAAGAAAAACAGCACATTATTAAGACTACACCTTTTCCTAAATCCAAAGGTCACACATCCTTTGCCAATCTTTCGTACCTTCAATTTGACTCTAAAATGCCATGAGATCTGTGAGTGCCATTGAAAGATTACAAAGTTCTCACTTCACCTCCTTGGGCTATTTATTTCAGGACAAACTACACAGAGCAGCTTTCCCCCTCCCTGACTTCATGATCACATCCTTTGTAGGGACACAGATGAAACTAGAAGCCATCATTCTCACCAAACTGACACAGGAACAGAAAACCAAACACCGCATGTTCCCACTCATAAGTGGGAGTTGAACAATGAGAACACATGGACACAGGGAGGGGAACATCACACACTAGGGCCTGTCGGGGGATAGGGGGTAAGGGGAGGGAAAGTGTTAGGACAAATACCTAATTTGCATGCGGGTCTTAAAACCTAGATGACGGGCTGATAGGTACAGCAAACCACCATGGCACATGTAAACCTATATAACCAACCTGCACATTCAGCACATGCATCCCAGAACTTAAAGTAAAAAATTTAAAAAAAAAAGATTCCCTCTTCACGTGTTGATTTCTGTAGAATGTTTTAGACACACATATCAGGCACAGAGATGCTAGTAAGGAAAAATTAGTTTGACTCGTTCATTAGCAGCAAAGGAATTCATTTCATGGTGACTCCACTTCGTGCAGCAGCCCAGCATTGCTGGCACTACAGCACGTGACGAGTTAATGGGTGCAGCACACCAACATGGCACATGTATACATATGTAACAAACCTGCACGTTGTGCACATGCATCCTAGAACTTAAAGTATAATAATAAAACAAAGAAAAGAAGTAAATAATGGAGCTAAGATCAATAAAAAAAAAAGAAAGAAAGAAAAGAAAGCATTGTTTGCAAACACTGACTCCTCTGTCGGACCTCCATCCTCTTTCACCTGAGAGCCTGCTATGTATATGAGCCCAGCTGTCACAACACTTTTTTTAACCTCTTCCTCATTTGTCCTGGTATCCATGCATTTTTCTTTCTGGTCATATTGCTTGCATTACCTTTGTATTGTCCATTTCCCTCATTAAAATAAGACACCTGGAATTAAACAGGTTTCTGAAGCTCTGGTTCAAGAAGTTGAGGGTAAAGTGAGAATAGTTACTTCCTTTGCTCTGGACTCTATCATACTACCCCCAGATGACTTTTTCTGGTTTTTGCCTCTATATAACTGTGTGACTCATATTGGAGATACGATCAACTAAAACCTCTGGCAATCTTTTTTGTCCATACGAACTTTGGTTAAACCAAGTCTCACCCACCCAACAGCTGAGGAGCCAACTTTTTAAACATGGGTTGAAGGAGTCATGGTTACCTGT
This sequence comes from Homo sapiens, assembly GCF_000001405.40. NCBI lineage: Eukaryota > Metazoa > Chordata > Mammalia > Primates > Hominidae > Homo > Homo sapiens. The sequence continues at coordinate 30,529,823 of NC_000012.12, forward strand.
ACTTTGTTTCATCTTCTTGACATTGGTCTAAAATTTTAGGCTTTGCAGGACTTTTTTCTTCTTTTTCTGACATCCACTGTAAAAAAAAAATCTTTCTAGCTATTTTAATTGGACACATTTGACAAGAACACCTTCTGATTATTTATTTAAGTGATTGACAAAAATGCTAAAAAGATCCGCACCAGATAGATCATCAGTACCTTGTTGTGAGTCTGCAGAACCTACTTTTCGAGTTGATCTATGTCTTAATCAAGATTCTTGGTGTTTCTCAACCAGCTATGAATTTACCCAAGTTATTATCATCCAGCTCACATTTCACAGTCTTATCCACAAGGCTGTCAAAAATGTTTTGACAAATACTGTGCTCAAACCATTCCCCTGATCAAAGCTAATGAATTCTAGCAAAGGAGTCTGGAATGTCTTGGTCTCATTGCTTCTATTAACCACTGTTTCTTGCCTTCAGTGACAAAAAATCCATGGGTGTTATAATCCTTCCTAGTATTTGGTCTGAGACTGAGAGTCTGTTATTTTTAAATTCCATTTTCCAAATACCAAAAAAATGCTAATGTTAGCCATTAACCATGATTCTTTAAGGATTATGCTATAACAACATACTACCTAATATTTTTGTATGATCTGACACCTGAACACACAATTATTATAATTTTGGTATATTTTCTGCAAGAACTTTGTAAGAGCTATAGTTGGTTTCCCTCACATGCTATTATATTATTATATTATATTATATTATATTATATTATATTACATTATATATTGCACATATTTCCATGTAGTCACATGAAACTAAACCATTTTAAGAGTGTTTTAGTATTTATCAAGTTAATGTATCATACATTACCTAATTCCTTTTCTATTGGTCATTTAGATTCCTTTCCATTTGGGGAAAGGGGCAATGAGCATATTTATGCTTACGGTTTTCCAAAAATATATTTTTTAATTATTATGATAGATTCCTAGAAGCAGAATTCCTGGGTCAACAAGTCTGAATATATTTCATGACTTTTAAGACATATTATTAATTTGCTTCCAAAAGAGGGTACCAATTCCTATCTACTCTCACTGGCAGTGGTCAACACCAAAGTCTTGAATATTAATGGAACATTTATATTGGAATGGTATCTGGATAGTTTAGAGTGAGAGAAATTGGGACTAGAAATACAATTTTAGGACTTTTTCATATATAGATCATAAACGAAACAAACAGGTACATTCTCCAAGAGAATGAATAAAATGGAGAATCATGTTGAAAGATGAACCTTAATGAAATATTTTTAACTTTCTTATTTTACAGACAAAGTGCACCGTTTAGTGGCTTGTCCAAGGTCTTATAAGTAATAGGTAAATGAGGCTGAGTGGAAAGTAGGGAAGAGAAGGAAAAGTGGGTAATAAAGAGAACAATGGGAATGCAGTGCCACAGAAGTTAAAGATGAAAACTTTGTCCAACAGAAGGTAACAGCCTCACTGTGTCAAGCAGCAAAGAAATTTTTTTAACTGAGAAAGAAAGGGAAATTCTTGGATTTGGAAAGGGGGTGGTCTCTGGCTTCCTGAGTCCTCTGATCCTCTGGCATGGTGAACTGGCTTTACAGATAGCCTTGTAAACATTTACAAGCCCACAAACATTATAAGCTGCCTAGTTCTGCCCCAGGTTATAGTCATAGGCGGTAAAAGATATTTTAAAAATCAATATTCTTTTATGATTCTGACTGCCTAAAAGTCATTACTTACTAGCCCCAGGTTTGTGAACTATTGAAAAAGATACACTGATGAATTAAACAGCACATCCAATAAAATATTTTCTTTTCATGCATTTTAGTCTATGTCTTCACCCGGCACAGGGATAAAAAAAAAAATTGGGCCAATAAAATGTAAGTTTGCAGTAGAGACCAAGACTACAGAATCCAGGGCCAGTTTTTCTTTTTTTACAAGTACAATCACTTGGGTATTTTTCACTCATGCCACTACGTGAACGGGCAAGTCAAAGTAAACTGTACCTTACCGTAAAGATTCCAGGAACAGAAAAGTCAGTTCCTGGAAGTGCAGAGAAGGAAAGCAAACATGGCTGAGATGAGAGTGAGTGTGGAGTAGAGGGATAGGAGCTACTATCGCCTGCCATGTGGCTATTTTTATGGTCTCCTGGCAGTGCTATACCTCTGTCTTTGTAGCTCATGGTTCACATTACCCTTGTGTTTAACTTTTACAATTCTTTGCATTTCCTCTTTAAAGTGATATTTCATTCTTGCTTAAATTGTCACCCAGTTATATTGATCACATCCTGCTAGGTGCTGAGAAAACTCCAAATTAGAAAAACAAAACAAAACAAAACATTTGTTGGGTAGGTAAGTAGAGAGAACACCAGATTAAACTATTCATGAAGGATGAATGAGAGAACAAATACCGAAAAGTGTTTCTCGTAAATGTGCACAAGGATGATGAATGAGTGGGAGAACGGTTTCATAGAGAGTGTAAAGGAAGAGGTATCTTGGCTTTGTTTTTTGAACTGATGTGTTTTGGATTGCATGTTTCTTAGGAAAACAATTAGCATAAGCCTACACTCCCATTGGTCCTCAACTTTCTAGAGCTCTCTGTTGGGGAGATAACTCAGGCTATGTCCTTACAGCAGGGATAAGAGTGAAGGGACTTCCAGAAAGCAGTTCAGACACACCACTGTGAGGTCAGAGCACTAGACAAGTTTCCAGAGGTGGCAGCTCACGGATCCATCTCCCCTTCCACAGCTGCTTCACCACTTAGTGTACCCCACCCTATCTCTTCTAGACAGTTAGGGTACACAGTATTATAGACCATCCATTAAGTAAATGCCCATTTCTCCTCCAAGCCATTGCTACTCAAGTCACAAGGACAGTTTTCCAAATGTATTCATTGTGCCAAGAGAAACATACTCTTCAAGTGTCCTTCACGTTCTTCAGAAAATCAATTTTTCACTTTTTCTTTCTCACTTTATAAAAAAACATGCCAAAGTAGGTAATTCCCTTACATAAGAAGGGAAGAAGGGGGTATTTTGTGCGTTCTGTTCTCCCACCATGGCTCACTTTCATTTTCACCCCACTGCAAATGTTTGTAATCTGCAGAGAAGACCCCACTATGAAACACTGCCCCTCAACTTGCTGTCTACAAGGCTGATGCACGGTGAGCCAGTGACTGGTTGGGAACTCGTATGCAGCAGACAGTGTGGCTGTTCAGGGCTGACCTCCAGGAAGTGTGCTTTTTAAATTAAAGATTTCCCATGTATGCTTTGTCTTCTTTTCCTCCTGAACCCACGAAGTCAATAGAGACCACGAATGGCCAGGCTTAGTTCGGAACCTTATAACTTGATGAATTCAGTGGAAGATGAACTGCTTGAAACTGAGCTTCAGTAATTAGACTACTTAAAAATAATGCATTGTCTTCCCAGAGAATATGAAGATAAGATTTTTCAAATTTCCCTTCTACAGTGCTTCCCTTTCATATATTTTATAAGTAGAGCCTTAATCATTCTTCAAACTGTAAAGTAAAATAAAATCCTAAGCCCCCGACCAGCTGAACAGACCCCCCTCTTGGCCAAGAGGACCCCAGAAAAACCTTAAAAACATGGCAGGAGGTCAGACATGCCTCGTTATACCCTTTCCTTTTGGAGTTTAGACACAACTGACTAGCATTAATATTAAAATAGAGATCATAAGGCTGACCAGACTCTTTGTGGCAATAAGATGTGAAAGTATAAACAGGACAGATGTGAAATTATAAAAAGGCCGTGTCAGGCAAAGGTTAAGTCATGCACCCCTAGACTTAGAGCATAAACTATGTTCTAATGGCCACAAACTTTTTCTTTTTCCCTGGTAGCTAAACAAGCACTGGCCTCAAGATCAGCAATATTAAAACAATTATAACTCATCCGTTCCCGGATGCTGACTAATGCCCTGTTCCATTAGCCAAAAGTACAGCTCTGATTGGACAAGAAACTGATTTCAGTATCTTTCTCCTGATGAGAAGACCACCCACCACGGACTGCTCCTGACCAGTTTACAGAGACTGTGCACTTGCCTGCCTTCACGCCCTGAAAAGACCTTTTGATATATAAGGCCTAACTATAATGCATTGAAATGTTCAGCCTCCACCCTAAAGTGAACATAGGTCATATGTTACATACATGTTTGTTCAATATACATGTGCCAAGATTGTCTTCATGAATATTCATAGCTCCTCCTGTAAGCTGTTGAATATGTATGTTTTGCCAACCAGTTCAACATAAAACTCCTACCCCTCCCCTCCTCCTTCCAAGTGCTTGTTGCTGGTCTTGGCCTGAGGCATGCTTCCCAGCCTGCAGGATGGCCACCTTGTAGGCTAAAACCCTTTATAAAAAGTAAAGTCTCCTTCTCTCTTTTCCAAACTTATAATTGAGTGATTTTTTTTAAGTTAACAAAACTTAGAATCATTAGAGAAAGGGAAGGCCAGTTACTGAGAACACTTTCCATTAAGCCAGAGTTATGAGGCTATTCTCGAGGTCGAAGTTGTTAAAGAGAAGATTAGCTCTTGAAACACATGGTCATTTGGGATACCTTTTAGGACTTGGAATTGAAATCCAGCTCAGAAATCCAGAAATGGGAGTAAAATATTTTAGGCCAAAAAAAAAAATGATGTCTTTGCTCATTTTAAGTGGCAAAAAAGTGGGGGAAAGTTAAAAAGTTAGTCATTGCACTTTGGAAAAACTGTTTACTGTCATATTTTACTTCTAAAACTTACAATGTGAGGGAATGGATTTTAATATTTCTTTTCAGGAAAACTACTTTCAATTCACAGAGTTTGGTTAAAATGATGCTTTTGAAATCTAAGGTATTCACAGACTGTTGTTTTAAGCAACTCTTTATGGTAGACACGCTGCTGGAGCCAATGACAGCAGGTGGAGGATAGGATGGCATTTGGATCTTCACAGCACCTGATGCGAATTTCTAACACATTTATTCACATGCTAAAGGTCTATGAGAAATTGTTAATTTAATTATCACTACATTTCTTTTTCATTTTTCTGGTTGAATACTCAGCAGCAGCAATTTGGCAGACAGTTATGAAAAATGTCTGTACTCAGAACATCTTAAAGAAAGTATTGCTGGCCGGGCACGGTGGCTCAAGCCTGTAATCCCAGCACTTTGGGAGGCTGAGGCGGGTGGATCACGAGGTCAGGAGATCGAGACCATCCTGGCTAACACAGTGAAACCCCGTATCTACTAAAAATACAAAAAATTAGCCGGGCGTGGTGGCAGGTGCCTATAGTCCCAGCTACTCAGGAGGCTGAGTCAGGAGAATGGTGTGAACCCGGGAGGCAGAGCTTGCAGCGAGCCGAGATGGCGCCACTGCGCTCCAGCCTGGGCGACAGAGCGAGACTGCGTCTCAAACAAAAAAAAAAAAAGAAAAAGAAAAAGAAAGTATTGCTGTGAGATTTATGCTGGGTCACTTACTTTGTCCTCATAGCTATGCTATGAAGTTGTGAAATTATTTTATCATGGCTGAATCTCTGTGGTTTACATATATTAATTCAGTTCCACCAGCTATAATGTAAAGGTGAAAATCTGATGAGATGATTTTAGCTGTAAAAATGTGTAGTTTGAAATCTAAAAGCTTATAAAGTAAGTGTTCTTATGGTGTATTCAACTAGTAGCTATGAGTGTGGTCTGGATCACTGTGAGGAGCTGCACTCAGCTTCTACAGGGCTTAATTTTCTATTGAGGAATAATTCAAGTAGACTTCTCCAGGGCACCTGGTTTTATCCTGACTTTGGGTGTAGGTGCAAGTGGTGGTCTCAGGTGGCTCCAGGACACGGCATGATCTGTGGCTTACTGACCCTGGTCTGTCTGCTAGCGGGTAACACTGTCCCGCCACAAGTTAAGATGACAGAAGCACAGCAGTGTAGACAGGATCACGAGGCACTTGTCTAAATCAGAGCTACTTAAAATGCCTCACGTGAATGGACTCAAAACTTCCCCTCAAAAGTGAATTAATGAACAGAGAAAGAAACCCTAAAAATGTGGTTAAAAACAACTATGAAAGTTAATTGGCTGCTCTTGATCCCTGCTGGACAGTGACCAGAAATGAATTAGTGGCAGGGGCAGGCTCTCAGTTTAACATGTGAGAACATGACATGCTACGCAAATGAATCAAATTAGGATTGAAAGAGACAGTGCTGTCAACTGTTATTAAGGCTGTACTAAAGCCCTTAAGAATGGGGAAGGTACCAGAAATAAATAAGGCAACTTGGTAAGTGAGAAGATATGCTTGCTTTGTTGGTTGTGTGTTTCGTTCAACAATGAGTTTGGGCATCTTCTGCCAAGCACGGCCTAAACAAGCAGTGGCACATTCAAATGCCTGCGGTGGAAATTCAAGTGAAATGAAGAGCGTAAGTCCTCATTTAATGGGGAGTAGGTTTCTGTTCACGGTATCTATTAAAGGAGTCTGAGTCTTGATGCCAGACCTTCTGGTTTTCCAAGAGAAGCCAAAAGACTAGAGGGGTTGTTTGGTGTTTTTTTTTTTTGGTAAAATTTCTCAGTGTTTACAACTTATTAAATAATTTTATTTTGTGGACCAAGCTAAATATAATCTGTTTAGTGGTATGCATTCTCTGGCTTAGGCAGTGTGAGCCTGATTGTGCTCTTGGTGCAGAGACAGAACATCATTATCTGTTATCCAAACTAGAAAGCAATAATGCCTAGAGTCATGCAAATGCCAAAGACCCGAGGCAGGGGCGATGAGAGGAACAATATACGCAGGAAGTGCCATTGATCTGGACCCTGGGACACAGGTAGGATTGAGAGGTGGGTCAGTGCTTCCTGCCGAGTGGGGAAATACAGTTTGGTTATTTTGAGTAGCAAATAGTTCAGTGTGTTAGCAGCTGCAGGCTGTGGAAATCTTTCAAGTATGGAAAGAATAAACAAAAGCCCTCCCCATAATCTGCATGAGCTCCCATAAACACACAAAACCTCCCCAGGTGAATTATGCAGTGCAGGTTTAAAAGAGAATATGGATTTTTTTCCAGATTTAGTGAGATATGATTGACAAAATAAAAAAAGTATACATTTAAGGCATACTACATGATGATTTAATGCATGTACACATCATGAAATGATTACCGCAATCAAGCTAATTGACATATCCATTACCTCACACAGTTACCTTTTTGTGTGTGGTAAAAACACTTAACATCTACTCTCTTAGCAAATTTCAAGTATATAATACATTCATGCATCGCTTGATGATGGGAATATGTTCTGGGAAATGCATCATTAAGAGATTTCATTGTTGTGCGAACATCGTGGAGTGCACTTACACAAATCTAGGTGGGAAGCCTATGACACACCTAGGCTATGTAGTATGGCCTATTGCTCCTAGGCAACAAACCTGTATAGCATGTTACTGACTTAATACCACAGGCAATTGTAACACAATGGTAAGTATTTGTGTATCTAAACATAGCTAAACATAGAAAAGGTACAGTGAAAATGCTGTAAACAAGACAAAAAATGATACACCTGTACAGGGCACGTAACATGAATGAAGTTTGCAGGGTTGAAAGTTGCTCTGGGTGACTCAGCGAGTGAGTGGTAAGTCACTGTGGAGGCCTAGGCCATTACTGTACACTACTGCAGGCTACAAACACTGTATACTTAGGCTACACTAAATTTATTTATTTAATGTTCTCTTCTTCAATAATAACCTTAGCTTACTGTAACATTTTACTTTATTAACTTTTAAATTTTTAAAAATTTTTTGACTCTTTTGTCATAACACTTAGCTTAAAACACATATTGTACAGCTGTACAAAAGTATTTTCTTTCTTTATATCCTTATTTTATAAGCTTTTTTCTATTGTTTAATTTTTTTAATTTTGGGAACTATTTTGTTAAAAACTAAGACACAAACACACACCTTAGCCTAGACATACACAGGGTCAAGATCATCAATATTGCTGTCTTCCACCTCCAAATCCTGTCCCACTGGAAGGTCTTCAGGGACAATAACATGCATGGAATTGTCATCTCCTATGATAACAATGCCTGTTTCTGGAATAGCTCCTGAAGGACCTGCCTGAGGCTGTTTTACAGTAAGTTTTTCTAATGTAGAAGGAGAACACTCCAAAATAATAAAAAGTATAATAAATATATAAACCAGTAACCTTGTCATTTATTATCATCATCAAATATTATGCTGTGTATGTGCTATACTTTCATGTAACCAGCAGTGCAGCAGCTTTGTTTACACCAGCATCATCTCAAACACATGAGTGATGTGTTGTCTATGACATTAGGATAGCTACAAGGTCACTAGGTGATGGGAAATTTTCAGTTCCCTTATAATCCTATGAGAACTGCCATCATATATCTGGTCCGTTGTTGACTAAAATGTTGTTACGCAGTGCATGACTGTACATTAATCTTAACTATAGTCACCATATTGTACATCAGATCTCTAGAACAGATTTACACTGTCTAACTGCAACATACCCTCTCCCTACTTTCTCCACCTCCCAGCTCCTGGTAACCACCATTCTACTCTGCATCTATGAGCTCAACTTTTTTAGATTCCACATGTATCAGGCAGCATTTATCTTTATTTGTTTGGTTTATTTCATTCAACATAATGTCCTCCAGGTTCATCCATGTTGTCACAGATGGCAGGATTAGGCTGGGTGCGGTGGCTCACGCCTGTAATTCCAGCACTTTGGGAGTCTGAGGCGGGCAGATCAGGAGGTCAGGAGTTCAAGACCAGCCTGGCTAGCATGGTGAAACCCTGTCTCTGCTGAAAATACAAGAAATTAACCAGGTGTGGTGGTGCACGCCTGTAATCCCAGCTACTAGGGAGGTTGAGGCGGGAGAATTGCTTGAACCCAGGAGGCAGAGGTTGCAGTGAGCTGAGATCGTGCCACTCCACTCCAGCCTGGGTAACAAAGTGAGACTCTGCCTCAGAAAATATATAATAATAAATAAAATAAAATGCATGTATATACAATATTTTGTTTATTCTTTTATCTATCAAAGGGCACTTATCGGCTGGGTGTCTGTAATCGCAGCATTTTGCAAGGGCAAGGTGGGAGGTTAGCATAAGTCCAGGAGTTCAAGGCTGCAGTGAGCTATGATCATGCCACTGCACTCTAGCCTGGGTGACAAAACAAGACCCTGTCTCTAAATAAAAATTTTTTAATTAAAAAAAGACACTTAGGTTGTTTCCATATCTTGACTGTTTTTAATAATGCTGCAATAAACATTAAATTGCAGATATCTCTTCACGATGGGGTTTCTTTTCCTTTTGATACATACCCAAAAGTGGGACTGCTGAATCATATGGTAGTTCTATTTTAATTTTTTGAGAAATCTTCATACTATTTTCCATAATTGCCGTACCAACTTACATTCCCACCAACAATGTACAAAGGTTCTCTTTTCTCCACACCCTCACCAACACTAATCTTCTGACTTTTTGAAAAAGCCTTCCTTACATCTGTGAGGTGATATCTCATTGTGGGGTTGGGGTTTTTTTATCTCTTTTTTTATTTCAATCGTTTTGGGGGAACAGGTGGTGTTTGGTTGTATGGAAAATTCTTTCGTGGTGATTTCTGAGATATTGGTGCACCCATCACCTGAGCATGGCACACTGTACACAATGTGTAGTCTTTTGTCCCTCACCCTCTCCCACACTTCACCCTGAGTTCCCAAAGTCCATTGTATCATTCTTATGCCTTTGCATTCTCATAGCTTAGCTCCCATTTATAAGTGAGAACATATGATATTTGGTTTTCTATTCCTGAGTTACTTCACTTAGAATAATGGTCTCCAACTCCATCCAGGCTGCTGCAAATGGCACTATTTCATTCTTTTTTATGGCCAAGTAGTATTCCATTGTGTATATATCCACATTTTCTTTATCCACTCACTAGCTGATGGGCATTTAGGCTGGTTCCATATTTTTGCAGCTGCAAATTGTGCTGCTATAAACATGAATGTGCAAGCGTCTTTTACCTGTAATAACTTCTTTTCCTCTGGGTAGATAACCAATAATAGAATTGCTGCATCAAATGGTACTTCTACTTTTAGTTCTTTAAGGAATCTCCATACTGTTTTCATAGTGGTTTACTGGTTTACATTCCCACCAGCAGTGTAAAAGTGTTCCCTTTTCACCATATCCATGCCAACATCTGTTTTGTTTTGTTTTGTTTTTAATTATGGGCATTCTTGCAGGAATAATGTGGTAGTACATTGTGGTTTGAATTTGAATTTCCCTGATAATTAATAATGTTAGGCATTTTTTCATAAGTTTGTTGGCCATTTATATATCTTCTTTGTTTTTTTTTTTGTTTGTTTTTTTTTTTTTTTGAGACACAGTCTTGCACTTTCGCCCAGTCTGGAGTGCAGTGGAGCAATCTCGGCTCACTACAAGCTCTGCCTCCCAGGTTGACACCATTCTCCTGCCTCAGCCTCCCGAGTAGCTGGGACTATAGGTGCCTGCCACCACGCCCAGGTAATTTTTTGTATTTTTAGTAGAAAAATACAATTTTTCTACTAAAAAAATTTCTATACAGTAGTAAAATTTCTATACAATTTTTCTACTAAAATTTCTATACAGTAGTAATTTTTAACATGGTTTCACCGTGTTAGCCAGGATGGTCTCGATCTCCTGACCTCGTGATCCGCTCACCTCGGCCTCCCAAAGTGCTGGGATTACAGGCTTGAGCCACCACACCTGGCCTTGTATATCTTCTTTTAAGAATTGTCTATTCTTATGCTTTGCCCACTTTTTGATAGGATTATTTGTTTTTTCTGGCTGGTTTGCTTGAATTCCTTGTAGATTCTGGATATTAGTTTTTTGTTGGATGCATGGTTTCCTAATATTTCCTCCCACTCTGTGGGTGGTCTGTTTACTCTGTTGATTATTTATTTTGCTGTGCAGAAGCTTTATAGTTTAATTAGGTCCCATCTATTTATGTTTGTTTTTGTTGCATTTGCTTTTGGGTTCTTGGTCATGAACTCTTTGCCTAAGCCAATGTCTACAAGAGTTTTTATGATGTTATCTTCTAGGAGTTTTATGGTTTCAGGTCTCAGATTTAAGTCTTTGATCCATCTTGAGTTGATTTTTGTATAAGGTGAGAGATGAGGATCCAGCTTCATTCTTCTACATATGGCTTGCCAATTATCCCCACACCATTTGTTGAATAGGGTGTCCCTTCCCCACTTTATGTTTTTGTTTGCTTTGTTGAAGATCAGTTGGCTGTAAACATTTGGCTTTATTTCTAGGCTTTCTATTCTGTTCCATTGATCTACATGCCTATTTTTATAACAGTGCCATGCTGTTTTGGTAACATAGTCTTGTAGTATAGTTTAACATCAGATAATGTGATGCCTCCAGATTTGTTCTTTTTGCTCAGTCTCACTTTGGTTATGCGGGCTCTTTTTTGGTTCTTTATGAATTTTAGGATTGTTTTTTTCTAGTTCTGTGAAGAATCATGATGGTGTTTTGATGGAAATGACATTGTATCTGTAGATTGCTTTTGGCAGTATGGCCACTTTCATAAAATTGATTCTACCCATCCATGAGCATGGGATATGTTTCCATTTGTTTGTGTCATCTATGATTTCTTTCAGTAGTGTTTTGTAGTTTTCCTCGCAGAGGTCTTTCAACTCCTTGGTTAGACATATCCCTATGTTTTTTTGTTTCTTTGTTTTTTGTTTTGTTTTTGCAGCAGTTGTAAAAGGGGTTGAGTTTTTTATTTGATTCTCAGCTTAGTCATTGTTGGTGTATAGCAGGGCTACTTATTTGTGTACATTGATTTCATATCCTGAAACTTTACTGAATTCATTTATCAGATTTAAGAGCTTTTTGAATAAGTGTTTAGGGTTTTCTAGGTACACAGTAATATCATTGGTGAACAGCGACAATCTGACTTCCTCTTTACTAATTTGGATGCCATTTATTTCTTTTTCTTGTCTGATTGCTGGGACATAAAATGTTGAATAGCAGTGGTGAAAGTGAGCATCCTTGTCTTGTTCCAGTTCTCAGGGGAAATGCTTTCAACTTTTCCCCCTTTAGTATAACGTTGGCTGTGGGTTTGTCATAGATGGCTTTTATTGCCCTAAGATATGTCTCTTCTATGCCGATTTTGCTGAGGGTTTAATCATAAAGGGACGCTGGATTGTGTAAAATGCTTGTTCTGTGTCTATTGAGATGGTCATACGATTTTTGTTTTTAATTCTGTTTATACAAAATATCACATTTGTTGACTTGCATATGTTAAACCATCCCTGCATCCCTGGTATGATACCTCCTTGATCATGGTGGATTATCTTTTTGATATGCTGTTGGATTCAATTAGCTAGTATTTTATTGAGGATTTTTGCATCTATGTTCATCGGGGATATTGGTCTGTAGTTTTCTTTTTTTGTTATGTCCTTTCCTGGTTTTGGTATTAGGGTGATACTGGCTTTCTAGAATGATTTAGGGAGGATTTCCTCTTTCTCTATCTTTTGGAATAGTTTCAGTAAGATTGGCACCAATTCTTCTTTGAATGCCTCATAGAATTCAGCTGTGAATCCATCTGATCTTGGACACATTTTTGTTGACAATTTTTTTATTGCTGTTTCAATCTTGCTACTTGTTATTGGTCTTTTCAGAATTTCTAGTTCTTCCTGATTTAATCTAGGAGGGTTGTATATTTCCTGGAATTTATTTATCTTCTCTAGATTTTCTAGTATGTGCACATAAAGATGTTCATAGTAACTTTGAATAATCTTTTGTATTTCTGTGGTATTGGTTGTAATATCTACCATTTCATTTCCAATTGAGTTTATTTGGATCTTCTCTCTTCTCCTTTTGGTTAATCTCACTAATGGTCTATCAATTTTGTTTATATTTTCAAATAATTAGCTTTTTGTTTATCTTTTGTATTGTTTCAATTTCATTTGGTTCTGCTCTGATCTGTTATTTCTTTTCTTCTACGAGGTTTGGGGTTTGTTTCAAGATTTAGAGAAGGTAGTGACAGGCCTCACCCAGCTCCCATGCAGTTGGCAAGGCCAGTCTCGGTCCCCTCATGCCCCGCTAACAGTGCTATGTTCATCAGGGATATCAGCCTGTAGTTTTCGTTTTTGGTTATGTCCTTTCCTGGTTTTGGTATTAGGGTGATGCTGGCTTCATATAATGAATTTGGAAGGGTTCCCTCTTTCTCTATTTTGTGGAATAATGTCAAAAGGATTGGTACCAATTCTTCTCTGAATGTCTGGTAGAATTCTGCTGTGAATCCATCTGGTCCTGGACTTTTTTCTGTTGGCAATCTTCTAATTACCATCTCGATCTTGCTGCTTGTTATTGGTCTGTTCAGGGTATCTAATTCTTCCTGATTTAAGCTGGGAGGGTTGTATTTTTCCAGGAATTTATCCATTTCTTCTAGGTTTTCTAGTTTATGTGTATAAAGTGTTCATAGTAGCCCTGAACGATCTTTTGCATTTCAGTGGTGTCAGTTGTAATATCTCCCATTTTGTTTCTTAATGAGGTTATTTGATTTTCTCTCTTCTTTCCTTGGTGAATCTTGGTAATGGTCTATTGATTTTATTTATCTTTTCGAAGAACCAACTTTTGTTTCATTTATCTTTTGTATTTTGTATTCACTTGTAAAGATTTTAATTAGAAAAAAAGGTGTTTTAAAAAACATTTAGCAGAATTATACTTTGTGGGCCACACAGGTTATTGGTTCAGATTAATGTAATCAGGCCTTATAAGGTTTGTTTTCTGTGTTCCATTCTAAAGAGCATAAATATTAAATGCTTACAAAATACACGTCATTCAAAATGGTTTAATTACAAAACACAATTTGAGCACAAAACAATGCATTATGGTCTCATGGATACAGTTACAAAACACTGTAATGAAAAATTAACAGCCTCAAGTAGATAATACTATACAACCCTTGCTCAACAAATGACATTTTAAACAAAGGGAGAAAAAGCCCAAGCAATGTCAATTAGTGTTGTTCTTTTGGTTATATTGAATGTGATTAAAGAAGTTTTCAAATTCTTAATAGTGGTATTAAAATAAGGCTCATTTTATGGCCTAGCATATGGTCTATCTTGGAGAAAGTTCCATGCGCTGTTGAATAGAATGTGTATTCTGTAGTTGTTGGATGAAATGTTCTGTATATATCTGTTAAGACCATTTGTTCCAAGGTGTAGTTTAAATCCATTGTATGTTGACTTTCTGTCTTGATGACCTGTCTAGTGCTGTCAGTGGAGTATTGAAGTCTCCCACTATTATTGTGTTGCTGTCTATCTCATTTCTTAGGTCTATTAGTAAGTGTTTTATAAATTTGGGAGCTCCGGTGTTAGGTGCATATACGTTTAGGATTGTGATATTTTCCTGTTGGACAAGGACTTTTACCATTATATAATATCTCTCTTTGTCTCTTTTAGCTGCTGTTGCTTTAAAGATTGTTTTGTCTGATATAAGAATAGCTACCCCTGCTGCTTTTGGTGTCCGTTTGCATGAAATGCCTTTTTCCACCCCTTGACTTTAAGTTTATGTGAGTCCTTATGTGTTAGATGAGTCTCCTAAAGGCAGCAGATAGTTGGTTGGTGAGTTCTTATCCATTCTGCAGTTCTGTATCTTTTAAGTGGAGCATTTAGGTCATTTACATTCAATATTAGTATTGAGATGTGAGGTACCTTTGCATTCACCATGCTATTTGTTGCCTGTGTACCTTGTTTTTTGTTTTTGTTTTTGTTTTTAACTTGTATTTTTGTTTTATAGGTCCTATGTGATTTATGCTTTAAAGAGGTTGTGTTTTGATTTGTTTCCAGTATTTGTTTCAAGATTTAGAGCTCCTTTTCACAGTTCTTGTAGTGGTGGCTTGGTGGTGGCAAATTCTCTCAGCATTCGTTTGTCTGAAAAACACCGTAGCTTTCCTTCATATATAATGCTTAGTTTCACTGGATACAAAATTCTTGGCTGATAATTGTTTTGTTTGAGGAGGCTGAAGATAGGGCCCCAATTTCATCTAGCTTGTAGGGTTTCTGCTGAGAAATCTGCTGTTAATCTAATAGGTTTTCCTTCATAGATTACCTGGAGCTTTTGTCTCACAGCTCCTAAGATTCTTTCCTTTATCTTAACTTTAGATAACCTGATGACAATGTGCCTAGGTGACTATCTTTTTGTGATGAATTTCCCAGGTGTTCTTTGTGCTTCTTGTATTTGGATGTCCAGGTCTCTAGTAAGGCCAGGGGAGTTTTCCTCGATTATTCCCCCAAATATGTTTTCCAAACTTTTACATTTCTTTTCTTGCTCAGAAACACTGATTATCTTAGGTTTGGTTGTTTAACATAATCCCAGACTTCTTGGAGTCTTTGTTCACATTTTCTTATGCTTTTATCTTTGTTTGTGTTGAATTGGGTTAATTCAAAGACCTTGTCTTCAAGCTCTGAATTTCTTTCTTCTACTTGTTCAATTCTGTTGCTGAGACTTTCCAGAGCATTTTGCATTTCTATAAGTGTGTACAATGTTTCTTGAAGTTTTGATTGTTTTTTATTTATGTGATCTATTTCCTTGAATATTTCTGCCTTCACTTCTTGTATCATCTTTTGGATTTCCTTGCATTGGGCTTCATCTTTCTCTGGTGCCTCCCTGATTAGCTTAATAACTAACTTCCTGAATTCTTTTTCAGGTAAATCAGGGATTTCTTCTTGTTTTGGATCCATTGCTGGTGAATTAGTGTGATTTTTGGGGGGTGTTAAAGAGCCTCGTTTGATCATATTACCAGAGTTGGTTTTCTGGCTCCTTCTCATTTGGGTAGGCTCTGTCAGAGGGAAGGTCTAGGGCTGAAGGCTGTTTTTCAGATTCTTTTGTCCCACGGGGTATTACCTTGATGTAGTACTCTCCCTCTTTTCCTATTGATGTGACTTCCTGTGAGCAGAGCTGCAGTAATTGTTAATGTCTCTTCTGGGTCTAGCCACCCAGCAAGTCTGCCCAGCTCCAGGATGGTACTGAGGCCTGTCTGCCCAGAGCCCTGTGATGTGAACCATCTATAGGTCTCTCAGCTATGATACTACCACCTGTGCTGGTAGAGGTGGCAGGGGGGTGAAATGGACTCAGTGAGGGTTCTTAGCTTTGGTGATTTAATGCTCTACTTTTGTGCTTGTTGGACTCCTGCTGAGAGGTGGCGCTTTCCAGAGAGCATCAGCTGTGGTAGTATGGAGAGGAACCAGCAGTGGGCAGGGCCCTAGAACTTCCAAGAGTATATGCCATTTGTCTTCAGCTACCAGGGTGGATAGGGAAGGCCCATCAGGTGAGGGCAGGGCTGGGCGTGTCTGAGCTCAGACTTTCCTTGGGTGGGTCTTGCTGTGGCTGCTGTGGGGGATGGGAGGTGAGGTTCCCAGGTGAATGGAGTTGTGTACATAGGAGGATTATGGCTGCCTCTGCTGAGTCATGCAGGTTGTCATGGAAGTGGAGAAAAGCCAGCAATCACAGGCCTCACACAGCTCCCACGCAAACCAAAGGGCTGGTCTCACTCCCACATGACCCTCCTAATAGCCCCGAGTCTGTTTCCAGGCAGTGGGCGAGCAGGGCTTGAGAACTTGCCCCAGGCTACCCACTTCCCAGCTGCAAAAGCTAAGGGCTTGGTTCTTCCCCCACCTGTGGAGTCTGCACACCAGATTCATGCCCTCCCAAGTTCTGGCCAGGAGGTTGCCAGGTTCAAATTGTTACAAAGTTCAGCTGGAGACTTTCTTCTCCCTGTGGCATTTTCCCCTGCACCTCTGGCTGCCCTCCTGAAGGATCCCTGTGTTGCCAGGCTGGAATGGCCTGCTTGGGGATCCAGAGAGCTCTCAAGACCTTTCCCACTGCTTCCTCTACCCCTGTATTTCACTCTGCTCTCTAATTTTTTTTTTTTTTTTTTTTTTTGAGATGGAGTCTCGCTCTGTCACCGATGCTGGAGGGCAATGGTGAGATCTCGGCTCACTGCAACCCCCACCTCCTGGGTTCAAGTGATTCTCCTGCCTCAGCCTCCTGAGTAGATGGGATTATAGGTGCGTACCACCACACCTGGCTAATTTTTGTATTTTTGGTAGAGACAGGGTTTCACCATGTTGGTCAGGCTGGTCTCAAACTCCTGACCTCGTGATCCGCCCACCTCAGCCTTCCAAAGTGCTGGGATTACAGGTGTGAGCCATCACGCCCCGCCTGCTCTCTAAATTGACTCAGCTCCAGGTAAGGTCAAAAACTCCTCCAACAAACAGACCTTGAGTTTCCCTAGTGCGCGTGTGTGGAGGATCTCTTTTTTCTACTTCAGCAGTTGGGGCACTTACAGTATTTTGGGTGTCTCCCGGGTCCTGCAGGAGCAGTTGGCTTCTTTCAGAGGATATGTGGGTCCTCTCGGGATTCCTGGTTTCAAGAACATGATTTCATTCTCATTGACTAATAGACTGCCTGCCTGCAATAAAATTCAGTTTTAATAATTTTTTTAATATGACAAGTTCAAAGAAGATTGTATTTTCTGGTACATTTAGAATTTTCCTGTTTTCTAGAACATAAATAATATAATTTATGATTATAATAATATAATGAATTCATTTAAAACTCAGCAGCCTAGCTTTTATTCTTACATGTAAAATTAGGATATCATTTATGATGTTTTAAATATTATTTTCTTTGAGAAAGAAAATCAGTACCATCCAAATTGATGAAATTGGTGACTATCCCAAGAACACATCCCTTCCAATTAACTGAAAAGTTGATGGACCATTAGTGCTGAAGTCTCTGAGCAACTTGCAAAGTAAGGAAAAGGAATTTTACCATTCGTACCATTTTTCAGCCACATTTCTCTCCCTCAATGACCTGTAGAGTTTCCCCCAAGTTCTCCAGGGCCATGTGATGACTTGGGCTCAGTTGGATGGCCTATCAGTGATGGGCCACTACCTTCTCTGGATTTCCTCTAACCATTTATAGGCTGGTAAGAACAAAACACTCCTTATTTATAAAAACACTTATGCAAGATAATCTTCCCTACTGATTTGTAAGCAACATAATGCAAGTTAAAAGTTACACACATTAAGTAATTAAAAACTATAATAGACCTTAAGAGAGTGATTAGTCTAATCCTCTTCCTTCTACCTCAACAAGAAAGACAATTAAACTTTCAAATCAACCCACTATCCACTCCGTTTATCTTGCCGGCAATATACTTTGTCTTCGCCGTTGTTTTTCATACTTATGAAGTTCCTCCAATTCCTCCCCTGACACCTGCTATCTATAGTTCTGTCTCTCTAGTATCTCATCTCCAGCCAATCAAACTTGTATTCTAAAGCAGACTGCCTAAAAGAATTACTGTGCAAAGAATAATCATTCCATTAGGAAAAATGTATACCTGATCCAGTTATCCAAGTTCAGAAATCTTACTTGGAAACTACTTGACGAAAGTTATCTAGAGAAAAGGGACCTGATTATACCTCTTGCTCTGAGGCACTCTTGCCCTGGGATCTTTGCCAAGGTATTTAATCTCTTTGTGCTTTAGCTTCTGAGTCTGTAAAGTCATTTTGTGTATTTATCTCTTATAAATCAAAGGAGTTTTAGGTAGCTCATTAAAATACTTGCCAGGATCACATGAGATCATGTAAGCAAGCATCTTAATCCATGTACTGCACTAAACAAATACAAGGTAATGTTGTTATTAGTATATGGTTAAAGTCCTGTTCAAGTAAATATCATTAAAATAAAACTGTATCTTTAAAAAAAGTTCAAGCTCTAACTGATGTATATTTATTCAAAGCAATATCTTCAAAGTGTAGTAATTAAGAAAAACCTTGAGAAATTGCTACAGGATAATTTTCTTTTTGCAATAGTCAATTATGTTATTTCTCTTATAAGATACAGAGATATTTGAAGAAATAAGTGTTCCTGATCACCTCAAAATGTCACATTAGCTAGTATATTGGGCCTCAGAAATTTTTTTACTAAGACACCTCAAAAAGCAAAAGAAAGAGGTTTTAATATTATTATTATTACATACTAATACATATGTATAATAATAATGTATAACTAGGTACAGTTTTATTATACATAAAAATTAACATCATTATTATCATTGCTTACCATTATCCTCTTTGTGAATAGAAGTAAATAATGAAATGGTCCTAAGTTAGGCAATGGCAAAGAGAAAAATTTTTAAAGCATGCTGATTTATAAACTGAATAATTGGTCGTATGAGTCTGTAATAATGAAGAAGCACCATATGTCAGAAGAGTGATTGAAGAACTTAAGTGTTGTATAAATATGCAGTGTTTTGTACTTAACAGCCTACAAATGATAAGAGGGGATCCAGAGAAGGTAGTGGCCCATCACTGATAGGCCATCCAACTGAGCCCAAGTCATCACATGGCCCTGGAGAACTTGGGGAAACTCTACAGGTCATTGGGAGAGAGAAATGTGGCTGAAAAGTGGTACAAATGGTAAAATTCCTTTTCCTTACTTTGCAAGTTGCTCAGAGACTTCAGCACTAATGGTCCATCAACTTTTCAATTAATTAGAAAGGACGTATTCTTAGGATAGTCACCAATTTCATCAATTTGGACAGTACTGATTTTCTTTCTCAAAGAAAATAATATTTAAGACATCATAAGTGATATCCTAATTAAGAACTGGTTAGAACATGAGGTTAATGAGCCAAGTGTGGAATTAATCCCCATGGAAACTAGTAACTTTAGAAATGGGAGTGGATAAAGGACTGTGCAGAGGACAGAGCAAGTCTATTTCCTTGGAAAGAAGGATTCTTGGGCTCTAGCCTCACGTTGGTGTCTTACTAGAAGGAGGCATTGGTTTATACACAGGGAGGCATCTGACCTTTTTTTTCTAAAAAAAAACAAAACCTTTTTCTTGATATAATCTCAAAGACCATGTTGGCACAAGATCCAAGCCTCCCTACTTCTAAATTTAGACATTTTGGAAGTGTACCTTTTTAAAAAATAAAGTATGATGATGCTCTGTTCTTAAAACTCAGCAAGTGGCCCACAAAGGGCCACATTATCACCCTTCGGAGTGCTATATTACGACATCAATGGTGCAAAGAAGCTATGCATATTTACTGGGAAGCTGGAACTCTTCAGCCTTCCCACAGGGAATTCTGCCTGGCACTAGTAAGTAGAATACCAAAAAAAAAAAAAAAAGGTAAAAGGAACCAAGGAAAATGAGCACAGCATGTAACATAGGAAGGCTTTGATATTCCTCAAAATGGAACCAGAATGTCAATAGTACATCGATGTTATAAGTACAGTTAACGCTTGAACAACATGGGTTTGAACTGTCTGGGCTCGCTTATGTGTAGATTTTCTCCTGCCTCCTGCCACTGAGACAGCAAGATGAACCCCTCCTCTTCCTCCTCCTGCTTAGCCTTTTCAGTGTGAAGATGAGGATACAGACCTTTATGATAATCCACTTCCACTTAATGAATAGTAAACATATTTCTCTTCTTTATGATTTTCTTAATAATATTTATTTAGTTTACTTTGTTGGAAGAATAGGCTGCATAACACATATACAAAATATGTGTTGATCAACTGTTTATGTTATCGGTAAGGCTTCCGATCAACAGTAGGCTATTAGTAAAATTTTGGAGGAGTCCAAGGTTATACACAAATTTTCAACTGTATGGGGGTGGGCACCCCTAACCTCTGTGTTGTTCAAGGGTCAACTGTATCAATATGACCCCCAGGTCAGATCCATTTACCAAAGTCATAGTTACCAAAAAAAATTTAAAAAGCTTTATCTCACAAAAAGTCTCTTAAAATAAGTTCTTACTTCTCATTGGAAATGTAATTCATGAAATTTTTCTGAAAAACACATCATTGAGTTAAAAACAAGAAATCTTTCAACAATATGGCTCTGGGTCATGATTTGATATACTTAGTCAATTTTTTGTTTAAAAGAACAAATCATTTCTGTGGTTTCTTTTAGCCATCTCTGCTAGTCACATACGCATACATACACATACACACACACACACACACACACACACACACTCAACTATAAACTATGATACATGCAGCCCTAGCTATGTGTCACTAAATAAATGCTGAAACTTTTTGCCAGGAGAACAAATACAATGTATTGTATTATATATACATATATATGTACACACATATATATATTATATTTATATACTATAATATAATATAGTGCTCTGAGGCATTTTCCCAATGCTTCTATTCAGGGATGCTTTATTTGATAAGGTAATAACAAAGTCTTCTAAGCCAAAGTCCATGTGATTTTACAGGTTCCGGTTTTGGCTATGATGAATCAGACAAAGAAGCTTAAAAGACAGCCAATCACATTGTTTAGGAGATGAGATGCTTCGAATGCTATTGCCTCTTGTCAGCAATCTACAGCAAGCAAGAACACCATAGCAAGAAAGCTACTCTTTGGTGTCATGTTTGGACTCAAAAGTAACAAAGATGTGAGCATAAACAATTCATAAATTTGCACCTTGAAAAGGCTGAGCAATCTTGAATATTGTCGATTGGCATATTATCCTGTCTTGTAGGAGCTTTTCACTGATATACTATCAAACTAAGAGTTTCCTCCGAAATAATAAGGCTTTTTAGCTCACCTATGAGCTAAAGATTTCATGTGGTATTATCTCATCTTGTTCTCAGCAATCTCTGTAATAGAGACTGATATTCGTGCATAGCATGCTTTGCCATCTCATGTTGATGTATTTAATCTTGATAACACTCCTGTGAAGTAGATGAACAGCCTTCTGTAGATGCTGTTATTATTTATCTCTGTTTTAAAAGCCACACAACTGGTAAATTCATGAATAAACTCAACAAATATTGTTCACTGTCTTATATTCAGCTTTTTATTATTCAGGGTCCCACTAGACATTCTGCGCATATCAGGAATTATATGATAAGAAGAAAAAAGACACTGCCTTTGTCCTCATGGAGCCTACAGTCCAGGAGGATCCAGACATTATAGAACTAATCACAAAACAAATAAAGAATTATAGCTGTGCTCACTGGTGTCATAAAGGGTGACATGGCTCCTAGGAAGCATATATTCAAGGGACCTAAATGGTCTAGGAGGTCTGGTTTTCCTGTGGAGTGATGTGGAGGTGAGGGCTGGGTATGAATAGGAGTTTTAGGGTAAGGAGGTGGCAAAACAGCATATGCAAAGGCCCTGTGGCAGCAGTAAGTGTCCTGTGTGAGAGATGGGCATGAGTGAGCAGGGGCATCGTGTGAGATGCAGATGCAGGGGTTTGGTGGGGACTGGACTCACAGAACTTGTGAGCCAGGCCAAGGGTTTTATATCTTTACTCGGACAAGGTTTGGGGTTCTAAAGAGAAGAGCAATGTGGTAAGGTTTGTCTTTGAAGGGATCTCTTGCTCTAATGTGGGCAGTGGGTGCTGGGGACAGAGCAGGCACCAGGAACCTGACAGGGCTGTTGGAGAGGTCCAGAGCAGGCCAAAGCTGACCCCAAATGCGTTTTCTTTCAAATATTTCTTTCACACAACCTTGCTGCACAGTGATCAGGGACATTTCATTGTCATGAATCTATAAATAGGAAACCTAGATTATAGGAGCATTATTAGGACTACATCAGTGCTCAATGAGAAAGTCAACAAGAATAAAGAATGCGAGTGTTTTGATGCTCACCCCACTATACTATTTCACAGACTGTGCCAGCTAATACATAGGAATAAGAATTATAAATCTTATTGTTTTAGCAGGTTTTCCTTTAGTCTGCTTTCATTCTGTCTTAATTTGCAACCTCTGCAGGCATTCTGGCTGAAATCAAACGACGCTGAAGTCATATCTGAGCTTTGGTTCACAAAAAGAAACTAAGAAAGCAAAATCTTGACAAAACTCTTGAAGCATGAACATTTAATTGAGTCAAGACATTACATTTATGAATTAATATTCCTTTAATCTTTAAACATATACAGTAAAATCTAACATCATTGACAGGTTTATCTAATGTATCTTTTGGTTAACTGACATTATGTTTTAAATTTGGTTTCATAATTGAGCCTTCAGTTTTTTATTATTCAGGGACCCACAGTATCTCAGGATTATCATTTTCAGTTTTCCCTTTCTGTTTGCCTACAAAAACCCTGTCTTCTAGCTCAGCAGCGCCTGAATATGTTTTGGGCATTGCTACCTCTGTGCCTGTTCATGTTCTTGGAACAGCCCACCCCACCCTGGCTTGACCACTGCTCATTCATGAAGCTGCACCTTGTTTCTTCCTTTCTTGGGAAGCTTTCCCTGACTACCCCAGCCACTTTGAGCTTGCTTCTGCAGAACTCTTTAAATACTGTCTATATCCATCATTTGAAAGTCACAATCTGTTGAATTGTGGTGTTAGGTCTCTCTATAACAATGTTTTATATCTTCCACTGCACTGGAAGTTCTTTAAGAAGAAAGACTGATTCTTTCTGTTTAAAACACTATGTCTTGCATCCAGTAGGTGTTTTATATCCACAGCATTAAAAATAAAAAGTATACATATTTTGCTCATTGATAAACACTTACAAATAGAGGCACCGTATGTTTTCCTTTTATTGGGCAAAGCCACTCCTTGGGCTCTATGATGTCTTAAAGTCATGCCAATTATATTTTGGACAAAACTTCAAGTTACAAAATTATGTCTGAAAATGAACAAGTGACTTTTGAAAAATAAATGCAAAGAAATTTGGAGAAAGTAAATTGAGGTTGAACCCTCAATAGAGACAACAATGCCAAATTTCAGATTGAAGTTATCTGGATATTCTCTCATCTGGTAAAAATTTTCAACATCGACCTTCTTAAGTTTTTTTACTAACATAATTTTATAATAAATTTATAAATATATACTATATGCATATATACATATGTAAACATGTTACTAAAATTATAAGGACTTAAAAAAAAGGCACTTGCTGATTGACCAATGGATCAAATAGTCTTACATGGAGGATAAATATATTTGAGTTAATAATAACAGCTAAAATGTGTTGGGTACTTACTACGTGACAGGCACTATTCTAACAGCTTTATATGTATTAACTAATTAAATGTTGATAACCACCCTATAAGTTAGATAATATTATTATCCTCATCTTACAAATAAACTAAGACACAAGAAGATTAAGTAACAGGCCCAACATCACAAGCTAATAAGTGACACAGTCAGGATTTTAGCCCATAGATTTAATTACTACACTATACTCCTTCTCTGGTTAAATATTAATTACTCCAAGAATACATACCCTGCAAGTTTAATCATTTCTTTTAATAGCACAGTTTTTTTATTATTTAGCTCTTTTAATGAAACTAACACAATAAAAGCGTGGACCAAAAAGAAAAAAACTTGGAGAGGGGTGGATAATGCTCTTCGAATATTTGAAGACATTTATTGTGGCAACAGAAATTTATTTTGTGTTGCTCTAAATAGATTTGGTATAAAACTAAAGCTGATAGTGGATACAGGAGGAATAAACATTTCAGCTTAAAATAAAGGATTTCCAGTCTTTATAGACTTTCTTTCATTAATGATCCAATCTTCTTTTAAGAACATTCAGCATCTTGTCATGGAGATACTTAAGCACAAGCCAGATGACCACATTATGATTAAATAAAAGATGTTACTAAATTGATGTTGAACTGTCCCTAGACAATAATTTTAGGATTTTTCTTTTCTTTCTTTTTTTTGCGGGGAGGGGGAGAGATAGAGTCTCACTTTGTCACCCAGACTGGAGTGGAGTGCAGTGGCATGATTTCGGCCCACTGCAACCTCTGCCTCCCAGGTTCAAGCGATTTTCCTGACTCAGCCTCCCAAATAGCTAGGACTACAGGTGCATGCCACTGTGCCTAGCTAATGTTTGTATTTTTTTTAAGTAGAGACAGGGTTTCACCATGTTGCCCAAGCTGGTCTCGAACTCCTGACCTCAAATTATCTGCCCGCCTTGGCCTCCCAAAGTGCTGGGATTACAGGCGTGAGCCACCACACCCAGCAATGTTAAGATTCTTAATGAGGAGTCAATAATGATGTAAATTTTTTCCAGGATCGAAATTTTTTTTTCAGGAAAAGCTCCATGGCATTGGATTTGGCAATAATTTCTTGGATATTGTAACAAAGGCACAGGTAACAAAAGAAAAATATATAAACAGACAACCAACAGAATGGGAGAAAATTTTTGCAAACTAGGCATTTGACAAAGTTATAATATCTGGCATCTATAAGAAACTTAAACAAATTTACAAGAAAAAAAACAAACAGACCCATTAAAAAGTGGGCAAAGGACATGAACAGACACTTCTCAAAAGAAGACATACATGTAGCCAACAAGCATATGAAAAAGAAGTTCAACATCACTGATCATTAGAGAAATGCAAATCAAAACCACAATGAGATACCATCTTACAACCATCGAAATGGCTATTGCTAAGAAGTCAAAAAATAACAAATGCTGGTGAGGTTGTGGAGAAAAAGGAACGCTTATACACTGTTGGTGGACATGTAAATTGCTTCAACCATTGTGGAAAACAGTGTGGCAATTCCTCAAAGGCCTAAAGATAGAAATACCATTTGACCCAGCAATCCCATTGCTGGGTATATGCCCAAAGGAAAACAAATCATTCCATTATAAAGACACATGCACACACATGCTCACTGCAGCACTATTCACAATAGCAAAGACATGGAATCAACCCAAATGCCCATCAATGATAGATCGGATAAAGAAAATGTGGTACATATATGGGATGGAATATTATGCAGCCATAAAAAAGAACAAGATCATGTCCTTTGCAGGGACATAGATGGAGCTGGTGGCCATTATCCTTAGCAAACTAACACAGAAACAGAAAAGCACATACATATGTTCTCATAAGTGGGAGCTAAATGATGAGAACACATGGACACATGCAGAGTAACAACACACACTGGGGCCTATCAGAGGGTGGAGGGTAGGAGGAGGGAGAAGATCAGGAAAAATAACTAATGGGTACTAGGCTTAATACCTGAGTGATGAAATAATCTATGCAACAAACTCTTATGACATATTTACATATGTAATAAACCTGTACCTCTACCCCTGAACTTAAAATATGTTTTTTTAAAAAGAAAAGAAAAATAGACATTGGACTTCATAAAAATCAAAACTTTTGTGCGTCAAAAGATGCTGTTAGCAGAATAAGAAGGCAACTCACAGAATCAAAGAAAAGTTTGTAAATAATATATCTGAAAAAAGATTAATATCAAAATATATATCGTGAACTTCTAAAACCCAACAACAAAAAAGCAAATAACCTGATTCAAAAATCGGCAAAGAACTTGAATAGACATTTCTCCAGAAAAGATATATGAATGGCCAACAAGCACATGAAGATGCTCAATTTCACTAATCATTGAAGAAATGCAAGTCAAAACTACGATGAGATAACCACCATACACCCCTTAGGATGACTACTAACAATGACAACAACAACAGCAACAAATAAAAATAAAAAACAGAAAATAACAAGTGTTGGCAAAGATGTGGAGAAATGAATTCTTGCGAACTGTGGTCAGATTCTAAGACGATGTAGCCTCTACGAAAAACAGAGTAGAGGTTCCTAAAAATAGAATTATAAATCAGCAATTACACTTCTGGGTACATATTCAAAAGAATTGAAAACAGGGTCTAGAAGAGATTTTGTATACACATATTCATAGCAGTATTATTCACAGTAACTTACACCTAGAAGTAACCCAAGTGTCCACTAACAGATAAATGGATAAGCAAAATGTGGTATATACATAACAATGAGGTATTATTTGGCCTTTAAAGGGAAGGAAATTCTGACACATGCTACAACATGGATGAAACTTGAAGACATTATGCAAAGTAAAATAAGCCAGTCACAAAAAGACAGATACTGTATGATTCTACTTAGAGGAGGTACCTAGAGTAGTCAAAATCATAGTGACAAAATGTAGAATGCTGGTTGCCAGGGCTGAGGGGAAGGGAAAATGAAGAGATATTATTTAATGAATACAGAGTTTCGGTTTTGTAAGATGAAAATATTTCATGCAAAGAAATCATACAAAAGAGATGGATTGTGGTGATGGTTGTACAGCATCATGAATGTACTTAATACTATTGAACTATGTACTTAAAAATGGTTAAGATGGTAAATTGTATGTTATGTGTATTTTACCACAATTAAAAAATGGGAAGAAACAATGATTTTTTTACCATCTCCATTATACTCAGTTTTTATAAGAGCTGAACAACAGTTTTCTTGCAGTCAAGGCCAGCAGGAAAAGATGCACTATAATAGAAATCCCCTGGATTCCCTGCAGATGTCTTCAGTCGCTTCGAGTCCACAAGATTAGCTCTGCAGGGAAATTACACATTCCATTTTCCTTTACTTTCAAATCAACAACCTGTCCTTACACATGGCATTTTGGAAAATTACAGTATCTGGTTTTCTGTTATTTGGGAAATAATGGAAAATAACAGTGATAATTATTGGATCAACTGTTTAAATGTTTGTGTGTGAAGAGAGTAATTTCCACAACCCTGTAGTGTTAAAGACATGTTCTTCTTTCCTAACTTGAAGATATTTCTTTTTTATTTAGAGCTATAAAGCAGCCATGGAACTAAATTTAGACCAAGTGCAGGCCTGTATGAACATGGTAGCATCCAAAACACCAGGATATAAAACACAATTCATTTCCATGTAAATGGAGTTTTCTCTTTGTGCTTTCTCTTTCTATATTTCTTCACTCTTAAATTATTAAAAACCTATATTCTCATTGAATTTTTTTTTTTTGAGACAGTGTCTTGTTCTGTTGCCCAGGCTGGAGCACAGTTGTGCAATCACGGCTCACTGTAACCTCCACCTCCCAGGCTCAAGCTACTTTCCCACCACAGTCTCCAAAGTAGCTGGGACTACAGGTGTATGCCACCACACTCAACAAATTTTAGCATTTTTTGTAGAGACAGGGTTTTGCCATGTTGCCCAGGCTGGTCTTGAACTCTTGAGCTCAAGCAATCCACTTGCCTTGACCTCCAAAAGTGCTGGGATTACAGGCATGAACCACCATGCCCAGCCACTCACTGAATTATTTGAAGACCAAAAACATAGATGTTTAAAAGTGAAATTAGCAGTTTTTACTCTGCTTTGTGCCATGTGGATGTTTGATGTCATAAATCCCTCTGTTATTAAAAAAAAAAGTGTAATAATGAGGCACCATGATTTTACTGATCACAATAGAATCATATGGGCTTTCAGGAAGTATCATTATACAGCAATTATGAACTAATTTACATAAACTAAAGGCCTGTTAGAGTTTACTTGGCTCATTTTCCTCACAGTTTTACTCAGATGTCAAGACTAAAGTACTATTTTAAGTACTATTGTCCTATTTCTTATATGTAATACATTTTTTCCTGACCTTTTACTGGTAAATAAACTTGCTCTCTTTTCCCCTTTTCTTCAAGAGAAAAACTAACCTTGATGAGTTTTTCAGCCAAGAAGGTCTGAGAAGTATTTTACTTTATCTAATAAAAGCAAAGATTAATCATTTTTTATTCATTTTTCTTTTCTCTGACTCAGTACTCAATACTTTCCCACTCCTAGCACTTCCCCTATCCTTTATCCCAGCATCTCTTCTCCACTGAAGCACAGATACTTCTGTTCATGGCCACCTCATCAGTAAAATCTGTCAATCCACCTGACCCTCAACCAGCATGCCTTTCCATGGGGAAAACTAGAACTGGGGTTGGTGGCGGGTTGGGAGTGGCGGGAAGGCCATGCTTTCTCCAGCTTAGACTCTTGATTATACTACAGCAATAAACGATTAAAGACTTGACTAGTACTTTTATAATCAGCTACTCCAACACCTGGCAGCTCAGCTCTCTCCAGCTCAGCCAAGCCCTTGAAAATTAAATAAATCAGATGGAGCCAGAGGACTCCAGGAAGATGGTGGAATAGGAAGTACAAGGAATCCATTTCTTACCTAGACAACAAACACACTGGCAGTATCTACCTGATGTAACAATTTTGGATCTCTATGGCATACTGAAGGCTTGCAACTTCCACAGGAAGCCTTGGGCAGTAAATTGCAGTTAATTTTGGTCAATTTCATCTCTTAGTTTAGCAGAGGCTACCCACTCCCCCACTCCCAGCCCTGTGGCAGGCAGCCATGACTGGTTCCTAGAATTGCTTGCATGCAGCTTATAGGACAGAAGGCAAGGAGGGCAATAAGGATCCTGTCCCCCAAATATCAGAATCTGTGATCGGATTACTGACGGTTGCTTCTAATAACAGAGTGCAAGACAGAGGTGGCCAGCCATTTTTGTACTCTTCCCAAACCCCCTATTATTGCAAGCCCCTATTTGTCTACTGGAAGTGATTTTCTGGGGTTTTAAAGGGCCAGGGCCCTTGTCCCACTTCATTTTTCTTTTTCCCCTTTTGAGAGCCAGGCATTAAGGACTAGGACATTTAATAGTAACTGCATACCTGAGAAGACCTTAAATTTTCACCTCAGCTGATCCTCAGCACAGAGACAATCTACAACAACCAAAACAAAACAAAAAACAGCAAACACTGGAGAAGATGGAGAATCTGATTTCCATAGATACCACATTATTAGACTCAAATGTCCAGTTTTCAATAACAGAAAACAATCACAAACTATACAAAGAAACAGAAAATTATGATTTATTTAGGGAAAAAAATAAACCAACAGTAACTGTCTCTGAGAAAGACCAAATAGCAGAATGACTAGACAAACTTTTAAACAACTGTCTTAAATATACTCAAGGAACTAAAATGTAGAGAAAATGAAAGAAACAAAATATGAACAACATGGAAATATCAATAAAGAGACAGAGATAGAGAACCTAAAAGGAAGCCAGAAGGGTATTCTAGAGCCAAAAAGTACAATAACTGAAATGAAAAATGCAGTAGAGGAATTAAAAGGCAGATTTGATCAGGAAGAAGAAAAAATAAGTGAATTGGAAGATTAAACATTTGAAATCATTAATTCTGAAGAATAGAAGGAAAAAAAGATTAAAGAAAAGTGAACAGAGCCCAAGAGACCTGTGGGATGCCATCAAGACAACCAACATATGCATTGTGAGAGTTCCAGAAGGAGAAGAGAAACAAAGATTATTTGAAGGAATAATGGCCTAAAACTTCCCAAATTTGATGAAAGACACCAAAAAAAAAAAAAACAGCTAATAAACTCAATAAACCCCAAGTGGGGTAAATTCAAAGACACCTAAATTGAGACCTATTACATTAAACTGTTGAAAGCCAAAGATAGAGAATCTTGAAAGCAGCAAGAGAGAAAGAAGTAACTCATCATATACAAGTGATCTTTAATATGGTCATCAACAGATTTCCCTTCAGAAATTTCGGAGATCAGAAGGCAGTTGGCTGATATATTCAAAGGGCTAAATCAAAAGGGCCATCTACCAAAAATCCTACATCTGGCAAAAACTGTCCTTCAAAAGTGACGGAGAAATTGAGACATTCCCAGATAAACAAAAGCCGAGGGAGTTTGTTACCAATATACTGCCCTGCAAGAAACCCCAAATGGTGTTCTCTTGGTTGACATAAAAGGACAACACACAGTAACTCAAAGCCATATGAAGAAATAAAGATCTCAGTAAAGGAAAACATAGGCAATTATGAAAGCTGGTATTATCGTAACAGTGATTTGTAACTCCACTTTTTGTTTTCTACATGATCTAAGAAATTAATACATTTAAAAAATTATTAATCTGAAATCTAGATTAATGTAATGTTGATTTGTAACTGCGCTACATAATTTAGGAGATAATGCATTTTACAAAAACAATTACTAGTTTATGTTTTTGGATAACTAATGGACATAGATGAAATCTGGTGACATCAATAACTAAAAGGGGAGGGGACAGAGCTGCAAATGAATACAGTAGATATTAAATGTAATCCCCATGGTAACCACAAAGAAAATCAACTAAATACAGTAATCAACTAAAAAAACAGTAATGCAGGAAATGAGGCACAAAAAGCTATAAGGCATATTGAAAATAAACAGCAAAATGACAGAATTTCCATCTTATCAGTAATTACTTTAGATATAAATGAATTAAATTTTCTAATCAAAAGGCAGAGATTAACAGAATGAGTAGGAAAACATGATCTAACTTTAGCTGTCTACAAGAGACTCGCTTTAGAACCAACGGCACAAATACATTGAATGTGAAAGAATGGGAAACGTTATTCCATGCAAATAGTAACCAAAGAGAGCAGAAGTGGCTACACCAATATCAGACAAAATGGACTTTAAATTTAAAATTTTATGAGACAATGGACATTAGCAAATGCTTCATTACAGCAAGAAGCTATAACAATCATAAAAATTTATGCACCTAATAACAGTCCATCAGAATATATGGGCGATAAAATGATAGAATTTAAGGAAGAAATAGACAACTCTACAATATTTGGAGACTTCAGTACCCCCATTCTCAATAACAGATAGAACAATCAGACAGAAGATAAGTAAGGAAAAAGAGAACTTAAACAACACAATAAATCAACTATATCTAATAGATATATCCAGGACACTCTACCCAGTAACAATGAGAGGTGACAGCGTGCTGGCAGTCCTCAGAGCCCTCGCTTGCTCTCAGCACCTCCCCTGCCTGGGCTCCCACTTTGGTGGCATTTGAGGAGCCCTTCAGTCCCCCACTGCACTGTGGGAGCCCCTTTCTGGGCTGGCCAAGACCGGAGCCCACTCCCTCAGCTTGCAGGGAGGCGTGGAGGGAAAGACACGAGCGGGAACCGGGGCTGTGTGCGGCACTTGCGGGCCAGCTGGAGTTCCGGGTGGGCCTGGGCTTGGTGGGCCCCGCACTCAGAGCAGCCAGCCGGCCCTGCTGGCCCCGGGCAATGGGGGACTTAGGACCCGGGCCAGTGGCTGCGGAGGGTGTACTGGGTCCCCCAGCAGTGCCGGCCCACCGGCACTGCACTCGATTTCTCGCCGGGCCTTAGCTGCCTTCCCACGGGGCAGGGCTCGGGACCTGCAGCCCGCCATGCCTGAGCCTCCCACCCCCTCTGTGGGCTCCTGTGCGGCCGAGCCTCCCCGACGAGCACCACCCCCTGCTCCATGGTGCCCAGTCCCATCGACCACCCAAGGGCTGAGGAATGCGAGCACACGGCGCAGGACTGGCAGGCAGCTCCACCTGCAGCCCGGGTGCGGGATCCACTAGGTGAAGCCAGCTGGGCTCCTGAGTCTGGTGGGGACGTGGAGAGTCTTTATATCTAGCTCAGGGATTGTAAATACACCAATCAGCACCCTGTGTTTAGCTCAAGGTTTGTGAGTGCACCAATCGACATTCTGTATCTAGCTGCTCTGGTGAGGACGTGGAGAACCTTTATGTCTAGCTCAAGGATTGTAAATACACCAATCGGCACTCTGTATCTAGCTCAAGGTTTGTAAACACACCAATCAGCACCCTGTGTTTAGCTCAAGATTTGTGAGTGCACCAATCGACACTCTGTATCTAGCTGCTCTGGTAGGGCCTTGGAGAACCTGTGTGTGGAAACTCTGTATGTAACTAATCTGATGGGGACGTGGAGAACCTTTGTATCTAGCTCAGGGATTGTAAATGCACCAATCAGCGCCCTGACAAAACAGGCCACTCGGCTCTACCAATCAGCAGGATGTGGGTGGGGCCAGATAAGAGAATAAAAGCAGGCTGCCTGAGCCAGCATTGGCAACCCGCTCAGGTCCCCTTCCACACTGTGGAAGCTTTGTTCTTTCGTTCTTTGCAATAAATCTTGCTACTGCTCACTCTTTGGGTCCACGCTGCTTTTATGAGCTGTAACACTCACCGCGAAGATCTGCAGCTTCACTCCTGAGCCCAGCAAGACCACGAGCCCACCGGGAGGAACGATCAAGTCCAGACGCGCTGCCTTAAGAGCTGTAACACTCACCGCGAAGGTCTGCAGCTTCACTCCTGAGCCAGCGAGACCACGAACCCACCAGAAGGAAGAAACTCCAAACACATCTGAACATTAGAAGGGACAGACTCCAGACGCGCCACCTTAAGAGCTGTAACACTCACTGCGAGAGTCCGCGGCTTCATTCTTGAAGTCAGTGAGACCAAGAACCCACCAATTCCGGACACAACAACACACATTCTTCTTAAGCGCATATCGGACATTTTCCAGAATAGATCACATATTAGGTCACAACTTAAGTCTCAATCGATTTAAAAAAAAATAGCTATCATATAAAGGATCATCTCCTATCAGGATGAGGTTCAAAATCAATAGGAAAGCAGGAAAATTCACAAATGTATGTAAATTAAATAACACACTCTTAGCCAATGGATCAAAGAAATCACAAGAGAAATTAGAAAGTACTTAGAGATGAATAAAAACAAATGCACAACACAATAATCTAGATTATGACCTCAACAAATGCTCATTATTATTATCATTGTTAGATCATTATTGGCATTACTGTGTTCAAAAGCAAGCTGGAGAACATGGCAAATCACCATATATTAAAGAGTTGGGAAATCCATGTGTCCTGCTGACACTGGAAAAGAGGCTAGAATCAAATTTGCAGGTAGCCCAAACCCTGAAAAATTGGTTAGGGTCTGGAAGGACTTCATCAGGTGGGACACAGCAAAAGCAGTAGTAAGGAGGAAATTTATAGCTATAAGCACATTAAAAAAATAAGAAAAATCAGAAAGTAGGGACATTACTACCAATTACACAAAATGTAAAGAGGGGTATAAGACAGTAACATGAATAATTATACAGCAACAAATTGAATAACTTAGATGAAATGGACAAATCCTAGAAACCCAAAACCTACTGAGACTGAATCAAGAAGATATAGAAAATCTGAATAGCCTATAACTAATAAGGAGATTGAAGTAGTAATCAAAAATCAAAAATCAAAGAAAAGCTTTGGGCCTGATGGCTTCACAGGTGAATTCTACCAAACATTTAAATCACTAATCCTAATCGTTTTCAAATTCTTCCAAAATTTGAAAAGGATGGAACACTTCTTAACTCATCCTATGAGGTCAGCATTACCTGGATACCAAAGCCAGACAAAGACATTACAAGAAAAGAGAGGTATAGACCAATGTCCCTTATGATGGAGGCCTTGCTTTCACATCAGCAGTGACATAACCAATGAAGCTTCTCTTTCACTCCGAGTTCAGGGTGGCACATTTTCTGAAACATGCTCACAAGCTTGGTGCTGAGAGATGAGAGATTCGCAATTTTTTTTGGCAGAAGATATAAAGAACAACTAGGGAGAGAGGAGGAAACAAAAATTAATGTTGTGTCCATTTATGCTTGGTTTCATTTATACCCTTCTCTGCACTTGCAACCTGGGGATCTATTTCTATTTCTTAGCCATTAATGTCCACAATACAAAAGCTTGGAATGTTACAGAGCCAGAGCAGCTATTCTTGAATGGGTGAGATAGTTCAAAAAAGGAAAATCCTGCAGAGGTGAACCAATTGAAGAATGCTACCAAGAGGAGGCTAAGTTGATTCTCCAGAACCATACAATACTTGGGACATATGTATACTTAAAAAAAAATTATTGTTTATCTAAAATTCAAATGTAACAGGGTACTCTATTTTTCATTTGTTTGTTTGTTGCTAAATCTGGCACTCTTCCTTCAGCTGGGAACATTCACCCATAAGTTTGTCACTTTTGTCCCATGCCATGGGATGACTGGATGGGGAAGGGTTGAGTCAGCAAATATGTGTTACATTCGTGGTTGGAGTCTGGCTCTAGGGACGATATGAAAGAAGTCAGCTACATCACCCTATCATTTAATACTTGGGACCTGGAGGGCTTGTACAGTGCATTCCTTATACATGGTGAGCACTCCAGAAATCTTTGTAGATGCTTGAAGGAATGAATGATATTGTGGGTTTTTATAAGATTGCTACATCGGTGACGTGTAGGATACAGACTTGCAGATCTTAATGATTTCAGAGTGTTGTTAGAGAGCTGGATGATACTAGTAATAGAGTTTTTATTGGAATAAAGACTTTCTGCAAAGAGATAAGAATTCCATTTTGAGGGAAATAAGTCTGCTTGAACTAAAGGATCATAATAGTTTGGCATCTGTCCCACTGCAATTTTATGGAAAGAAGCTGCAGTTACTGACCCATTATTCTTTTTTTTCTATATAAAGGAAATTTGCCACTCCTTCATAAGTGGTATCCAAATGGAAGGGCTTGCAATTAAGAAGGAAAGTGCTGATCTGAGTATTTATGAAGTCTGCATCAGATTTTGAGCACAGGTCATCAGTTGAATTGGGTTTCAGGCCCAACAAAGTTGGTACCACACTGCTATTCACCAGTCTTTTTGAAAATATGTTCAACTCAAGTAAATTCATTCTTACTTATGGAAAACTGCATACTCCAGTGGGAGATACTGGGGTGGATAAAGATTCATGAGACAAAAAGTCTGCCATGAAGAAGTTTATAGAGCACTAGATTCCATGCATTTGGCCTGCTCAAGCACATCCCTCCAGTAATGTCCCCTTCACTTCTGACATTGTCACCATCATTTTTTGCTCTCTTCTGGATTGCTTCCATCAGTATACAAACATGCTGCTATTGCTCCTGTTCTGTAATTAAAACAAAACTTTCTCTGGACCCCACTTCCTCTGCCAGCTACTGCTCTATTTCTTTTCACTAAAACTCCTAAAAAGATTTTGCTAAACTCAGTGCTTCCAATTCTTCATCTTCTGTTCTCTCTCAAACCCACCCAGACTTTCCATCTACCTATCTCCGGTCCTCTGATACTATTCCAGTTAAGGTCACCAATTCTTCCATGCTGCTAAATTCAGTGGCAATTCCCAGCTGAAAATTTCATCAATTTAATAGCAGTATTTGAAATGGCTCATCACTACCCTTCCCTGGAGCACTTTGTTCACTTAACTTCTAAGACCACATACTCTCTCAGCTTTCTTTCTTATCCCTTAGGTTTGGGCTGCAATAACATTGCACAACAAATAATCCCAAAATCTTAATGGCTTGCAAAGACCACCATTCCATTTCTCACACACGGGTCTGATGGTTGGTTGTGGCGCAGCTGATCTTGGTTGGCTGAGCTGGGCCAGGTTGAACTCTAGCTTCCGGTTCTGCTCTATAGCCCTACATCCTAGGACCCAGGCTAGGCAGACAGCAATTTCTTGGAATGTGCTATTCTCATTACAGATTATGGAGGCACAGGAGAGGTGAACAGAAATAAGCAACACTTCTTGAGATCTTGGCTTAGAACAGGCACATCGTCGATTCCACCAATATTTCACCACGAGAGCAAGTCACATGGCTAAGCCCAGTACTAAATGAGGTGAAAAAACAGTCTGCCAACTCCAGTCAGATTCATGCAAGTCATGGGACAAAGGGTGTGGACATATAATTCTACTACAGGTAAGAAGTGGAGAATTAGGGCAATGATAAAATCTACCACATCGTTGTATGTCACTGGCTGCTTCTTCTTAGATTCTTTATTTTTACTTTATTATTATTATTTATAGAGACAGGGTCTTGCTAATAGCCCCACTGCAGCCTCAAACTCCTGGGCTCAAAGTGATCCTCCCACCTCAGCCTCCTGAGTAGCTGGAACTACAGATGTACACCACCACACTCACTCAACATTACCAATATTCTTTACTGGTTCAATATCTTCTCATTAACCTCTTTATTTTGAAGCTTGCAAGAGCTGTTTTAGTCCTCTTTCTCTTCTCCATCTGTGCTCATTCTTTTATTGATTTACTCTAGTCCCATGACTTTAAATACTATCTATATGCTGAAAACTTACAAATCCCTATCTTCAACTCAGACCTCTCTCTAAAATTACAGATTTGGGTACTACCACTAGAACGTTTAACATCTCAAACTCAACATGTCCAAGAGGAAACCTGGAACCCCAGTCTTCCTCCCATCCCCAAACCTGCAGCCTTCACATCTCAGTTGACAGCAGCTCCATCTTTTCCATTGCTCAAATCATAAACCTTGGCATCATCCTTGACTCCTCTATTTCATGCCCATGTTCATTTCATCTTTAAACAGATCTTGAATTTGACTTCTTCTTACCACTCCCAGTGTCACCATCCTAATTGAACCTAACATCACCTCTCTTGCCTAGACTATTGCAATTGCCTCCTAATTGGGCTCTCTGCTTCCACTCTTTGCCACAGTATAATCTATTCTCTATCACTAGAGTGATCTTTTTAAAAACCAAGTCAGATCATAACATTTTGTTGCTTAAAACCCTCTAATGGCTTACAATAAAATCTAAACACCTTAAGATGACTTACATGATATGGCCCTTCCCTGCATCTCTGAAGTCCTCTCCTGCCACACTCCCCTGTGAGCACTGTGCTCCAACAACACTGACCTTTTCTTGTTCCTCAAACATGCAAACCATGCCCAGCCTCAGGGACTTTGCCCTTGTAGATCCCAGACTGACACACGCTTCCCCAGATACCTAGCTGGTTCCTTTCTCCACACCAAGTTTCTGCTCAAATTTCCCTTCCTTAGAAAAAACTTCCATCACAATCCTGTCTACAAGTCTACTTTCCATTTCTCTCAATCCCACAGCCTGCTTTATTTACCTTCATAGCACTCATCATTACATAAATGTGTATCATATACATAATTGCTAATGTGTGTTGCCTGTCTCCCCTACTAGAATATAGGCTCTATGTGGTCAGGGACACACCTCATCATACACTGAGCTCCTAGTTGAAGCTGCCAACAACATAAGTACAGGCAGTGTCACTATAGAGTTTTGTACTTTTTAATATACCGTCTGTATAGCTTAGGAATATATTCTATAATGATAAAAACTCCAAATCACAATTCTTTAAATAAATGGATGTATTTGTCTCACATAACAAGAAGCCTAGGTAGACTGTTCCTGGCAGCAGAACTTCAGTGGGCCCTCAGGGACCTCAGCATTGTCCTTCTTTCTATTCCATTGTGCTGACAATGTTGGTTCTTGTCTGTGTGTTGCCCCACAGTAGCAAAGATGGCTGCCCCTCCTCAAGCCTCAATTTATACTCCAGGCAGGAAGAATAAGGAAGTAGCAAAAAGCTGTAGGGCTTTTTGTTGGGTAGGATTTGAAGGTAAAGTGCCATAAGGTGAAAGATGACTGCAATTCATTGAACTTGTTGGAGTCAGAGTCCACCTCAGGCTCCCAGTGTTCAGGGAGACTGGAGGGCTTGTTTCCTGAAGAAACTAGCAAAGTGAAGCTCAGTTGTCATGGCAACCCACCAATCAACTTTTGCTGCCCTTGCTTTTTATAATTACTTCTTAAAACTCTTCTTTGTATAAATTCCTATTTTTCAGGACAGTAATTAGCAAATGTTAAGAATATGATGAAAACAGGCCAGTTGCAGTGGCTCACGCCTATAATCCCAACACTTTGGGAGGCTGAGGCAGGCGGATCACTTGAGGTCAGGAGTTTGAGACCAACCTGGCCAACATGGTGAAACCCCATCTCTATTGAAAATACAAAAATTAGCCAGATGTGGTGGCATGCACCTGTAATCCCAGCTACTCAAGAGGCTGAGGCACAAGAATTGCTTGAACTCAGAAGGTGGAGGTTGCAGTGAGCTGAGAGTGTACCACTGCACTTCAGCCTGAGCAACAGAGCAAGGCTCTGTCTCAAAACAACAACAACAACAAAAGAATATGATGAACAAAGTTAGTAAACTTCATGAGAAAACTGAATATATTTTGTGTGCTTTGTAGCATGCAACAGCTGAGTAAATATACTGATGTACTTGGGAACCAAGGTTCTCATTGTAGTTGCCAGTAATATCAATATATTTACTCATTTGTTTTATCCTACAAATATGTAAATTTAGAAAGACCAAAGCTAAGAAATTTTCCAGTAGGTTTTTTTTGAATTGTAGGTACCAATTTGAACTCAAATTTTTGAAAGTGTTCTCAATTACCAAATTAATTCATTGGATTTTTTTAAAAGGAACCCAAGAGTCTACAAAGAGAATGGGGTGGGATGAAGTGCTGTTCAAACTTCATAACAGAATAACACCTTTCACATTCCTGTAAAAGGAATGATAGAATTCAAAATCACCATTTTTCAGTCTCCCATGTAAGCACTGATTTAGGCAAGGATCATCAATGGATACTAAAACCATTCTGCAGAACAGGATATTCATCAATATTCTCCAAGTGTTATTTCACAGGTAATTATTTATTAATTTATTAGTACTATAAATTTCAAAGGTGAAATGTTACCCTTACTATGAAGAGATCTCTCCAGCACCACCCCAGTAAAGAAATCTAATGTAGAATAGATTTGTATTCTGCAACAGTAGCACACACTACCAATAATAGGACACACTGACATTATGTACCTCTTAATGTAATAGAATAAGAAACACACAATCTCACCTAAGTATTCTCGCCAAAAATGTTTAACTTGAATTCCGAACACAATGAAACAATCAGAAAATTTAAATTGTGGGACATTCTATAAAGGAAGTGACCTGAATTTGCCAAAATGTCAATCTTATGGAAGATTATTTATTTAAAAAAAGAAAGATTGGAGGAATGTTCAAGATCAGCAGTTCTTAAAGTGTGATCTATAAATCCCTGGGGGTACTTGAGACTAAAAAAAACAGAAAGTCAAAACTATTTGTATAAAAAGGTTAATAGGTTATTTGCCTTTTTCACTGTGTGGACATTTGCAGCGATGGTACAGAAGCAATGGGAGTAAAATTGCTGGCATCTTAGCATGAACCGGGTCAAGACCACGGCACCACACTGTACTAGTAGTCATTGTATTCTTTACCACCAGGCACTTTTCATGAATTCTGTTTTCATTTTTAATTTT
Organism: Homo sapiens; assembly: GCF_000001405.40. Taxonomy (NCBI): domain Eukaryota; kingdom Metazoa; phylum Chordata; class Mammalia; order Primates; family Hominidae; genus Homo; species Homo sapiens. The sequence continues at coordinate 30,569,725 of NC_000012.12, forward strand.
TGTGAGTACATAGTAGGTATATGTGTTTATGGGGTACATGAGATGTTTCGATACAGACATGCAATGTGTAATAATCACTTCATGGAAAATAGGGTCTCCATCCCCTCAAGCATTTACCCTTTGTGTTACAAACAATCTGATTATAGTCTTTTCATTATTTTAAAGTGTACAATTAAATTACTACTGATGATAGGCACTCTGTTGTGCTATCAAATAGTAGGTCTTATTCATTCTTTCTAACTAAATTTTTTGTACCTATTAACCATCCCCACCCCCACTACCCCCACTACCTGCCCCCCTCCCACCCCCAACTAGCCTTCCCAGCCTCTGGTAACCATCCTTCTACTCTGTCTCCATGAGTTCAGTTGCTATGATTTTAGATCCTACAAATAAGTGAGAATATGCCATACTTGTCTTTCTATGCCTGGTTTATTTCACTTAACATGAAAGTGTGGTCTGTGGATCCCTGAGGGTCCTTGAAACTAGGGAGAACACAAGGTCAAAATTATTTATATACTGAAGTTAAGTTTCTAACTCAAGCATACATATTTTTAACATTCTGTGTGGTAAAGTGGAAAGTACACATAAAGCACTTTTGCAAAGCAAAGAGCAATGGCTGTCCTAAGGAAAAGTACTTGTATAACCGAACTGCTGGCTGAGCCAGCCACTTGTATTCATGGAGCACAATTTTTATGTGAAAGAACTACTGACAAACACATGGTTTTTTGGACTGAGATATTTGGCAGACACTTTCTCAAAAATAAACAAACTAAGCCTGTCACCAAGGAAATCACTGACAGTGTTTATTGCCAATGATAAAATTCTAGTTTTCAAGCAAAAATTAGAATTTTGGAAAAATCGCACTCATCCTCATATTTATTTGTATTCATCAGCTTTTCAATGCTTAAAGACTCTTAGTGAGATTGATGGTGATATCAATGCATGTGATTTTTTTATCTGGAATAATGAAAAGTGCTAACATTGCAAAAATCTGCACAATTCAGTCAACTGATATTTTCCAAATGGCTAACGCATGATGTTTTATCCATGCATGTATGAAAGCGGCACTCACAGTGCAAAATAACCAACGGTTTTTAATGTAACAGAGTATGAAAAGTTTATTAGTATGGTTTCAGATTCCATACTGCAGTTAACTTTTCAGTAACACTTTTTAACTTTTCAGTAACCTTCACTAACATTTATGGAGTATTCACTACATACCAGACACTGTACAAGGTAGCTTACATACTGTGCCATAACAATTTAGATTTTTAACAAGCCTGTGATGGGATTCCACCTCAAAAACAATGGGAAAGAAGAGTAATATGGAGTTTGTTGAGAGAGGAGAGTCTTATTATGGGTTGAGAAATGCTTTAGATGCAAAGCAGAAAAAAGGAAAGGGTAAAAGAGTATAATAAGATGTTAAATTAAAATTTTTAACTGAGGCGCCAAAATATAATACTTACCAGATTCTAACAGAGTGCAAGGCAAACCATAACAATGTGGCAATTTCAAAGAGTTGAAAGTGTACAGATGCAGAGGAAACCCTCAATGTATTTCTTTGGAGAAAAAACATTGGTGCATTTTGGCTCCCACCTTTATGGAGGAGGAATGCGTGCTCTTCCCTCAGCTCAAACCTAGGGCTAAAAGCTTCAACAGGATCACTTGGAGAACTTCCTATGTTCCTTGCAGTGGTGAGGGCAAAAGGGACTGTGCCTGACTCACAAGAGGGACAGCCAAAGTGGCCTGGCATACCAGAATGGAGGGCTATGTGGAAAGCAGCCTGATGCCTCGAAATTGGTCAGGGCAAGGGATGCAAGAATGCTTCCCAGGGACCAGATGCAAACCATGAGGAAGTGGGTGACCTGGAGTCACTTTGACTACTGCCTAAGAGGACAATGGGAATCCGACAGTGAACATCTGTGCGGAAGAACCTGTCAGAAAAATGAAGGCCAAGGAAGAGAATTGTGGAAAAGAAAGTGAACACATCACCCATGCCAAAAAAGTTGTATTGGGACAGTTGTAACCAAAAAAACCAGGAAGACACCCATAAGAATCAGTTTTAGACATCTGCCAAGGCCAGACAGTTCAAAGCCATCTTATGATAGTACCATCCAGGTAAGAGCTTCCTGCCTCCCTTTCGCTGCCCCCCTCCCCATGTTTTGGAAGGAGGTTACTGGAGGGAAAAGAGGCTAACTGCCTCACCCTCCCAGGAGCACAGGTGCCTGTGCTGGGAAGGGAAAAGGGAGAGATTCTTATCTTTCGAAGTTTGCTTGATACACCGAACTTGACATCCTAATCTATGAATCTTCAGGACTGTGAAGCCTTTTAGGATGTGAGCTTCAGGAAGAAATGCACAATGAAGTCCCGGGAGTTTCCAAATAACACCAAACTTTGCCAAGTAGTGAAGAGCTAGACAGAAGGATGAGGACAGACCATGGAACAAGTCTGTAGGGAAAGGCGATACATTATGCTCAGGGTGGAAGACTCACTGGCCTAGAATTCTCTCCGGGATTTTTCTTGTAAACCCAGGTTTCCTGGAGCACTGGCATATGGCCCAATTTTGAGGAATGTTGCACTATCCACAGTCCTTTTCTTGGGGTTTTATAAGTGTTCAGAGGTGGCTTTATCATGTAACCCTGATAATATGGGCACAACTCACCAAAAAACAAACCAACGAACAAAGAAAAACACATCTGGCTCTTGACCAAAGATGCTCTAAAAAATTCAGAACCTCCCTCGTGGGAATTCTAAGGGCCTTCTAAATTAGAAAGCAATTCATCAATCAATTGTATCCTCTCCCCTGGGGTGCTTAAACGGCAGAAATACAGAGGGTGTGGTCTGTGTATAGAGAGAGGAAGATGAAGAAATGTAGAGTAGAAAGGTAAATAGAAGGCATGACTTGGAGAGCCAGGTTTGGGCAATCCATTAGAAAGAAAAAGCGAAAGAAAGAGAATCCAAGTACTGAATCCAAGAAAAGTGACTTTTAAATCTGGGGTTGATCACCAGAATGACTACCAGACTATTTGACCTGCCACTGCATTCTGAATGGTAGTAAATGAGGCTTCTATTGTCCTTAGGTGCAGGAGATTAGATTTTCTTTTCCCTTGACTTTCTTTCTCCATCAAGTCCTTCAATAAACCCCCATTGATTGAGGTCATTGTACTGCTGTTCCCAGTAACTGGGAAGAAATTGATACAATGATAGGTGAATTCCGCCAGGTGTAGATACTAAATGAAAGAAACCTGGGACTGGGCATGGTGGATGACACCTGTAATCCCAGCACTTTGGGAGGCTGACAGGAGGATTTCTTGAGCCCAAGAGTTCAAGATCAGCCTGGGCAACATAATAAGACTCCTGTCTCTACCAAAAAAAAAAAAATTATCTGGGCATGTTGATGCATATCTGTAGTCTCAGCTACTTGGGAGGCTGAGGTGGGAGGATCACTTGAGCCTGAGAAGTGGAGGCTGCAGTGAGCCTTGATCACACCACTGCAACTCCAGCCTGGGTAAGACTCTATCTCTGGAAAAAAAAAAAGACAGTCAACTGAGTCAGCCAGCAAAGGTTATTAAAACTTTCCCAATAGACTCCCTCTGGGATTCCCTAATTCAAAGCAAAGGTCAGCAAACTTTTCCTGTAAAGGGCCAAATAGTAAATATTTAGTCACTATGGGCAGTATCATCTCTGTTGTAACCAGTCAATTCTACCAGTAGCAAGAAAACAGTCATAGACAATACATAAACAAATAAACATGGTTATATTTCTTTCTGGGTTTTTTTTTTTTTTTTTTTTTTAAATGAGACAGAGTCTCACTCCGTTGCCCAGGCTGGAGTGCAATGGAGTGATCTCGGCTCACTGCAACCTCCGCCTTCTGGGTTCAAGTAATTCTCCTGCTTCAGCCTCCTGAGTAGCTGGGATTTCAGGTGCCCACCACCACGCTCAGCTAATTTTTGTATTTTTAGTAGAAATGGGGTTTCGCAATGTTGGCCAGGCTGGTCTCGAACTCCTGACCTCAGGTGATCTGCCAACCTCAGCCTCACGAAGTGTTGGGATTATAGTCATGACCCACCACACCTATCCAGAGCATGGCTACAGTTCATAAAACTTTTTTTATGAATACTGAAATTTGAACGTGTATACTTTTCACACATCACAGAATTTTTTTTCAGCCATTTAAAAAATGTTAAAGCCATTTTTAACTTTTGAGCCGCATAAAAATAGGCAGTAGCCTGGCGCAGTGGCTCACGCCTGTAATCCCAGCACTATGGGAGGCTGAGGCAGGTGGATCACCTGAGGTTGGGAGTTCGAGACCAGCCTGACCAACATGGAGAAACCCCATCTCTACTAAAAATACAAAATTAGCTGGGTGTGGTGGCACATGCCTGTAATCCCAGCTACTCGGAAAGCTGAGGTAGGAGAATCACTTGAACCCGGGAGGTGGAGGTTGCAGTGAGCTGAGACCACACCATTGCACTCCAGCCTGGCTAACAAGAGCAAAACTCCATCTCAAAAAAAAAAAAAAAAAAAATGCAGTCAACTGTCTTTGGTCCCCAGGCCATAGTTTTTCCACCCCTGGCTTAACCCCAAGACCAAAAACAGAATCCTTAAATGATTGTACAGCAGCATCAAGACTGCTAATTACAAACCTTGGCTTATTAGGGTGAAAACTCTGCCTCCCCATGAACAGATAAAAATTAAGAAGGAAACCAACGGAATAAAGTAGCGGGAGGGCATTGTATAAAAAGAAAAAAGAATCATTTACATTCATGACTTTAATTAATTGAAAAACTTAAAATCTTTATATGAAGAAATAAATACATACTGTTTTTCTCTGTACTCCAGAAACCACAAGAGTGTGTTTTCTATAGAATTCTGCTAAAAACGCCTTATAAAAATGATAATTCACTTAAAAAAAAAAGAAAAAGAAAAAAATCAAAGAAGGAGTTTAAAACAAAGTAATTTATATTTTATCTTTGTGCACCTAAATGTCATTGTCATTGTCATTGTTGTTCTTTAAGTAGAATTAGCAGAGGCTGTGGAAGCAAGGTGGTGGCTCTGGAAGGAGATCAGCAAAACACCCAAGCCATCCTGTGAAAGCAAAGCAATACTACAGGTATGGAACTGATATTTACGATGTTAAGGCCTAAGATTATATGTTATTTATACAGAGAAAAATTCCCACCCACAGAAATAGTTCTTTTTCATGTATGATTCAGCCTAGGAGGCAGGCTCCGGGATTAGAACGCCAGATAAGAATCCATTTCGGGGGCCGGGTGCAGTGGCTCACGCCTGTAATCCCAGCACTTTGGGAGGCCAAGGTGGGTGGATCACCTGAGGTTAGGAGTTCAAGACCAGCCTGATCAACATAGTGAAACCCCATCTCTTCTAAAAATACAAAATTAGCCAGACGTGGTGGTGCACACCTGTAATCCCAGCTACTCAGGAGTCTGAGGCAGGAGAATCACTACCTGGGAGGCAGAGGTTGCAGTGAGCGGAGATCGCACCATTGCACACCAGCCTGGGCAACAAGAGTGAAACTCCATCTCATAAAAAAAAAAAAAAAAAGAATCCATTTTGGGGTTCTCAAGTTGTATTTAACACTGGGTCAATGGAGTTCCATATCTACCCTTTTTAACAGAATGGCTCTCAATGATTTTGAACTGTGGATGTATTTGAATATTTTATGAAAACTATGGAACTTTCCTCTATAAAATATGCCTATAGACAACATTTTGCATTCAATTTTATGGAATTCATGGTGCCCCTCAACTACCAGGACCCATATCTGAAAAAGCGTTCTAAAGCACGAAGTGTGAAGGCACTTGTCTTAGGGTTACTCCACCAGCCACACCTGATTTCACAGATACCACTTTCTTTTTCTTTTAACAGTTCACCTTTGCAATGTCTAATAATTAAGTTACATTAAAAGTGCTGAGGTATGAGATCTCTTCTTCAGCAACCATGTGGAAAAATCATGTGTCATTTAAAGAAGCTTCTAAAAGGATTACAGGCCTCTGGCTTCACCCTGGAGGTGTCCTGGCTGTAAATAATTTAAAGGATGTCTCTTATAGGAGAAGGAAGATGCTGAATGGGAATTGAATCTGTTCTTCCTTCTACATTTTTCTCCTTCTCATCCTAACCTGGGGACTGCCCCTATCCAGTTCTTCATGCTTCCAGATGTCATCATCGAGTCACAGAACATTAGGTCTGGAAGGCCCATCTGAAATTGCCTAGTCCAGTGCTTCTCAAACTTTAGTGTGTGTCAGAATCACCAGAAGAGCTTATTAAAAGGTAGATTTCCTCCCACACCTCCCCAGGTCAGACAGAGTAGGTCTGAGTGGTGCCAGATGATTCTAACAAGCTCCCAGGTGATTCTTAGGTGGCCCTTTTTGGACTCACACTTTCAAAAGCATAGATTTAGTCTTCTTTTATGAAGGAGGGACTGAGACTGTGTTATGCCATTCTTGCATTGCTATAAGGAAATACCTGAGACTCGGTAATTTATAAAGAAAAGTGGTTTAATTGGCTTACTGTTCTGCAGGCTGTACGGGAAGCATGGTGCTGGTGTCTGCTCAGCTTCTGGTGAACCCTCAGGGAGCTCACAATCATGGCAGAAGGCAAAGGGGGAACAGGCACATCACATGGCAAAAGCAGGAGCAAGCGAGAGAGAGAGAGAGAGGAGGAAGAGGTGCCACACACTTTCAAATGACCAGATCTCATGTAAACTCAGAGTGAAAGCTCATTTATTACCAAAGGGATGGCCCAAGCCCTTCATGAGGGATCCACTCCCATAATCCAAACACCTCCCACCAGGCCCCACCTCCAACATTGGGAATTACATTTCAACATGAGAGTTAAGTGGGGACAAACATCCAAACTATGTCAGAGATCTTCCCCTCTGTGATGGTTAATACTGAGTGTCAACTTGATTGGATCGAAGGATGCAAAGTATTGATCCTAGCTGTGTCTATGAGGGTGTTGCCAAAGGAGATTAACATCTGAGTCAGTGGGCTGGGAAAGGCAGACCCACCCTTAATCTGGATGGGAAACATCTAATCAGCTGCCAGCACAGCCAGAATATAAAGCAAGCAAAAAACCGTGAAAAGGCTAGACTGGCTTGGCCTCCCAGCCTACATCTTTCTCCTGTGCTGCATGCTTCCTGCCCCTGAACGTTGGACTCCAAGTTCTTCAGCTTTGGGACTTGGACTGGATCCCTCACTCCTCAGCTTGCTGATGGCCTATTGTGGGACCTTGTGATTGTATGAGTTAATAAACTCCACTCTATATATATATATATGTTCTGTCCCTCTAGAGAACCCTGACTAATATACCCTCTTTCTGCCCTCCTTCCTTGTCTGTACCTTGAAGATGGTAGCCTAAAACTGTCTGGATCATCAAATGAGATAACGTTTGCCAACACATCAAGCTCACTGCTGCCTCAAAACCTTTGGTGCTCCCTCTGTATTAAAAAATATATGTATCTTCTGCCCATATTTCTATGACTTGCTCCCTCCCATCACTAGGTCTTTGCTCCAGTGTCCCTTCCTCAAGTTTTCCTGACCATCCTATGTAAAGTAAACAACCCTCCACCCTACCCGCATTGTCTCCATTCTTCTACACTGTTTTCTTTTTCTTCATATAACTTACCCCTATCTGAATTATGTATGTATTTCTTTACAAGTTTACTAGCTATGACTGTGGTTTCATAGAGACAGCTTCTAGCACTGTGCCTGGGAAATAAGGGGCTCACAGTGAATGATAAACCAGTGAAAACATAAAGTTCTTATTTATACTTTATACTATTCCTTAAATTCATAACCTTTTATCTTCCCAGACACACAAAAAGGGGGAAATATTTATGTTCATCCACTGTCGACAGTGTTCCCACTGTCGACAGTGGATGAACATAAATATTTCCCCCACAATGTTAGTCAATGTGATTGGGAGTGTATGGAAGCCAAGGTTGCCATAAGCGAGACGAGCATGCATACAGAATTATTATAATTAAGAGAGAATTAAAGGAAATTGATTTGCCATGTGATTGCTTTTATTCATTCAGTCTATAAATATTTGTTAAAAGCATCTGAGGGGCCAGACTAGGGATAAAACACAGAACAAAGCCCTCACGGAGCTCACGCCCTTGGGGGAGGAAGGAACAGCACAGCTACACAATATCAATAAGTACATTATAGAGCAGACTGAAGGTGATTGGTGCTTTGGAGAAAAATTAAGAATGTTAGGGAAATGCAGAGTGTAGAGGGCTGCAATTTTAAATAGAATAGTCCAGGAAGGCCTCAATGAGAAGGTAACATTTGAGCAAAGACTTGACAGTGGTGAAGCAGAGAGCCACACAGGTTTTGAGGTAGGAGGCAAGACTGGACTCTGGAGGCAGGGCTCAGACACTGGACTAAATTGAGGACTAGCTAAAACAGGGGCAGGGTGAAAGAAGCTTTCCATAGGACATGCCCATCAGTGTGCCATGTCAGCTTACCATTGCCATGGCAACACCCAGAAATTATCACCCCTTTCCATGGCAATCGCCTGACAACCCAGAAGTTACCACCTTATTTCTAGAAATTTCTTTGTAATCTGCCCCTTAATTTACATATAATTAAAGTAGATATAAAGATAACTGCAAAACTGCCTCAGAGCTGCTCCTCTGGATGCACTGCCTGGAAGGTTGCCCTGCTCTGTGAGGAACAGCACCTCTGCTGTTGCCGTGCACTGTCGCTTCAATACAAGTTGCTGTCTAACACCACCAGCTTGCCCCTAAATTATTTCCTGAGTGAAACCAAAAAGATCTCCTGTACTAAGCCCCAATTTGGGGCTTCACCTGCCCTACATCAGTTTCTTGAGGAAGTGTGCTCCAGGCAGAGAAAACAGCAAGTGCAAAGGCCCTGGGGCTGGCCAATGCGAGTGAATAGGAGGAAGTTGAAGAGGAGCTCAGAGCCGGTGGGGGACTGTGAGTCACGCAGGGCTCTACAGGCCCCTCCAAGAACCCTGGCTCTTCCTCTGAGTGACCTGGACCTCACTGGGAAGATCTGAGCAGAAAAATGACTTGATCTGACTTAGGCTTTCACAGGATCACACTGCCTGCTGTGTTGAAAAGAGTGCTTGCCTCAGATCCAGCCACACACTTCCTGCTCAAAAAAGCACACTCCAGAGATGTTTTAAAACAAAACACAAATTGCTAAAAACAACCACAAATATATTTAAATGGGCAAAGGACTTAAAGAGTTTAATTCATTCTCCAAAGAAGATTCACAAATGGCCAATGAGCACATAAAAAGATGTTCAATATCACTAATTATTGGGGAACTCTAAAGAAAACCTCAATGAGATACCACCTCACACCCATTACAATGGCTATCAAAAAAAAATGGAAAATGATGGCAAGAATATGGAGGAATTAGGACCCTCGTGCATTGCTGGTGGAAATGTACAGGGATGCAGGCACTATGGAAAACAGTATGCAGGTGCTTCAGTAAGTTAAACAGAGTTATCAGAGGATTCAGCAACTGCACTTCTAGGTTATATACCCCCAGAAATTGAAATCAGGGGCTCAGATACTTGTATACCAATATTCATAGCAGTATTATTCACAGCAGCCAAAATGTAGAAACAACTCGAGTGTCCATCAACAGATGAATGGATAAATAAAATGTGGTATATACATACAATGGAATATTGTTTGATCTTAAAATGGAATGAATTCTGATGCATGCTACGCCCTGGCAGAACCTTGGAAACATTATGCTAAGTGGAAATAAGCCAGACGCAAAAGAAGAACTATTGTATGATTCCACTTATGTGAGGTACCTAGAATAGGTGGATTCATAGAGACAGAAAGAGCACAGGTTGCCAGAGGCAGAGGGGAGGGAAGAAAGGGAAGTTCTCGTCTAATGAGTATAGAGTTTCAGTTTTGCAAGATGAAAATGTTCTGGAAATGGATGGTTATGATAGTAGCACAACAATGTAAATGCATTTAATGTCATTGAATTGTACACATAAAAATGGTTACGATGGTAAATTATGTATATTTTATCCCAATTAAAAAATTTTCATTTTTCTAAGTTTCTAAGTTCTGTCTCAATGTACCTTTTCATTTAACAAATATTTATTAAGCATCAACTATGAACCAAGCAATGTGGATAAAATTTTCCAAGTAAAAAAAGAGGGACAACCATCATTTGTTGAGTGCCTACTTGGGACACACTGGCTATTTTCTTTTCAGACCCTTTGTCTTCCTTGGGATTTTGAGATGTTAGAAGTCAAAAAATGTGCAAAAATAACATTGAGGACTTTGTAATGCAGGGTCCCAAAGGCACAGATAAAGCATTACTGGCTTTTTGAAGCGAGAAAGGTCACTTCTGACTGGGAGCTCCATCAAGTCTTCATGGAATGGCCAGCATGGGAACAGAGGCTGGGGCAGGGCAGATCCCAGGCACCAGCAGGAGGTCAACAGTGCTCAGGAGCAGAGGGGAACAAACGTGGTGGGCACATGGGATATATGAGGAGGAGAAAGGAAAGGCAGGAAGCCAGGGAGTTCGCAGGATCCAGATCCTCAAGGGGTCTTAAATTAGGCCAGTCATAGCCTTAGGGGTCAAAGAGCCATTGAAGACGTTTAAGAAGGGGATGCCAAGGCAAAGCCATAGACACCTGCAGGTGGGGAAAGTAGGATACTGTGAGATGAGAGAACAGCAGGAGAAGGAAGGACAGAGTCACTGCCTATGGGGAACTCTCATCTGAAATGACTTCGTGTTGATGCAAAGCATTTCTTGCTAACTTCTAAGCATATGGAAAGTCTCATCTGCACACTCCAACTTCTGCCTGGGGAGGGAGAGCCAAGTGAGAATTTTTTCCATTAAGACTGTGATGAAGGAAAAATTCCTTAGGGCAGACAATTATGTCAACATATTTTTCTAATTTATATTTTTAAATGTGCAAATGTTCCTAGAGGCCTGGTGGCAGACACAACTTTTATAAATATAAAAATGTCAATCTGCACACAACTGCTAGCCTGCTGAAGACACCCACCTCCTTCCAAATTTAACCAGTCTGATTTTTTTTAAGACAATTGTGTTTGGAAATTGTAAACATGCAGCTAATGAGTCTAAGGAAAAACAGAGTTTATCCAATAACATTGCACAAAGGCAAATTTCTCCCAAACCTTTTTTCTTCAGCATCAGAGTCTTTTTTCTTAAAATCAGAGCTAGGAGACTTGTTTGCATCACCAAGTATGTGATGAGAGGATGAAACATGATCACATGCAGGCAGATACAGTGGTGTGAAGCCATCAAGGGAGGCTGGAGTCTGCAGTCAGAGGGGCCAGGTACAAATCCCAGTCTCGCCCTTTCAAAGTGACATTGCCCTTGGCCAGATTACTTACCCCGCTTCCCAAGAGGAAGGTCAGTATGGTGGCTGAGGGTCTGGACTCTGTAAACCAGACTTCCCCAGGCTTGACTCCCCCTCTGCCACCTCCTTGCTGGTAACCTCTCAATGGGGTGATAAGAACAACAGTATCTGCCTCATGGCAGGATCATGAGGAGTAAATGAGTTAACATATGTAAAATCCCTAAGAGGGTACCTGTTATGTAAAGTGCTATGTATAAATGCTTGCTCATTTGTTATCAGTTAAAACGAAAAACTGGATATAAGCCCTCACAAGGCATTCGTGACAATTAACTGAGATGGGGGTGGAGGCACACTCTATGCAGGTTCTAAACCTAAAATCCTAGCTCTACCACTCATTAGCCATATATTCTAAGTTCCTTTATCTTCCTGTATTTCATTTTGAGGTTGAACTTCGAATAGGCCCTTGCACACGGTGAGTAGACAGGAAATCTCATCAGCAACAAATATTAGTTTCCCCTGTCCTTCTCATTCTCATTCCAACATGTTTTCTCCTAAGAGGACAAGATACTCTGGACTGTTGAAGTCCATTTAGGGTATTCTCCAGATGAGGGTTGTTGCAGGCTGAATTGTGTTCCCCAAAAATTCATGTGTTGAAGACTTAATTCACAGCACCTCATAATGTAACCATATTCACAATAAGATCTTTAAACAAGTGATTAAGTTAAAATTACACAATTGCAATTGGAGTAGGCCCTAATCCAATCTGATTGATGCTCTTACAAGAAAAGGAAATTTGGACACACAGAGAAACATCAGATGCATGCAAGCAGAGGAAAGACCAGGTGAGGATGCAGCGAAATGCTGGCCATCTAGAAGCCAAGCAGAGAGGCCTCAGGAGAAACCAGCCCTGCCAACATCTCGATCTTGGACTTTCAGCCTCCAGAACTATAAGAAAATCCATTCTGTTGTTTAAGCCATCTATTCTGTGGCATTTTGTTATGGCAGCTCTAAAAAACTAATACAGGGTATAAATGTTATTCTCCTACATATTTTTGAGAAAAGGATACTTCGTTTTTCAAAGTCCAAAGAGGGTGGCAATTTATTCAGCAAGCATTTGATGATTCCCTGATATGGAAGAGGATCACTTGAGATGGAAGTTGTCCTAGGGCTCCAAGTAACTTGATGTAGCACTGTGTGTCCTCAGGGAGCTCACAGTCCAGGGACTGACCCTGACAATTAAAGGAGGAATTGTAATTTGGGGTGATGGATGGTATAGTAGAGCCACATGAGATATCGTTTGGACTGTGTCCCCACCCAAATCTCACGTTGAATTGTAATCCCCAATGTTGGAGGTGGGGCCTGGTGAGAGGTTATTGGATCATGGGGGTGATTTCTCATGGTTTAACACCATCCTCTTTGGTGCTGTTGAGTTCTTGTGAGATCCGGGTGTTTAAAAGTGGCACCTCCCCGCTCTCTCTCTCGCTCCTGCTCCAGCCACGTAAGACGTGCCTGCTTCCCCTTTGTCTTCCACCATGACTGTAAGTTTCCTGAGGCCTCCCAAGAAGCAGAAGCTGCTATGCTTTCTGTACAGCCTGCAGAACTATGAGCCCATGAAACCTCTTTTCTTTATAAATTACCCAGTCTCAGGTCTATATAGCAGTATAAGAACAGACTAATACAACCCACAAGGTAAAGAATTGGCATAAAGGGGAGAGAGAACAACTCTGCCAGAGGGAGGAAAAGCCTTTTCCAGTGAGGAACTGGTGAGCTGGGCATAAAGTGTGCAAGGAGTCTTCCAGGCAGGTACAAGTACAGAAAGCATTTTAGGCAGAGGGACAACATTTATAAAAGACTCTTCCCCTCCGGATGCTCACCATCTGTCCAGGGAGGTGGGTGGGTAAATGTTGTTGAGTATACATACATTGGTGAAGGGATAAATACTCTGCTATGAGACTGAAGTCAGGAACATTTAACTGAGGCTGAGGAGACCAGGAAAGGTGCTACCTTAGCCAAGTTTTGAAGATTGTGTGAGTCACAGAAGGGCATTCCAGGCACAAGGGACAGCATGAAGGCTTGAGAAAGAATGTTGTATAAAGTAACTCAGAAGTGCAGGCATGTGGAACTCAAGACAGGATAAGAAGACTTGTATTGAGCAGGGTGCTACATGCTTTCATGCATTATCTCAGCTGATCCATTCTAACAACTCAATGGGGTAGTTTGTCATGGTTATTAATGCTGCCTAAATAGAAAAACCCTGAAATTTCAGGGGCTTAATACAATAATGAAACTGAAAAATAACCCATTAAGTTCAATGAGGGTCAGGCAGTCTGCCTACCTCAACCAGCTATGCCATCCTGAACATCTCCAAGGTGGTCACAGCAAGAAAAGAGAAAGATGATGGAAGGTCACAGGGCTCACATCAACTCCACTTCCAGTCAATTGGCCAGAAATAGCCACGTGACCCTGACTTAACTTCAGGAAAGGCTGAGAAATCTAGGGAAGTGTGTGGGTATTTGGTGACTAACTATTGCAGGTAGAAATCTTTATTATATTCTCATTCTGTCAGAAAAGTTAAGTTTTTTGCCCAAAGCCACACGACTAATGAGCAGTATTGCCAAGAGTCTCATACAATTGACTCTTAAACCTACATCTGAGCCACCATGGTGTATTGCCAGATCATACAGAGCTTTCTATTGTAAGACTGGGGCCGGATGCTGTGGCTCATGCCTGTAATCGCAGCACTTTGGGAGGCTGACGTGGGCAGATCACCTGAGGTCGGGAGTTCGAGACCAGACTGACCAACATGGAGAAACCCCGTCTCTACTAAAAATACAAAATTAGCCGGGCGTGGTGGCACATGCCTGTAATCCCAGCTACTTGGGAGGCTGAGGCAGGCGAATCACTTGAACCTGGAAGCTGGAGGTTGCGGCAAGCCAACATCACGCCATTGCACTCCAGCCTGGGCAACAAGATTGAAACTCTGTGTCAACAAAAAAAAAAAGAAAAAGAAGATTGGACATTACCCTATAGACAATGGGGAGCTAGCACAATCAGATTTTCCTTTTAGATAGACCACTTAGGCTGTGCTTTGAAGGATGGCTTTGAGAAAGCAAGGTTGGGTGCAAGAAAATCATTAGGGAGGCTATTGACATAGTTCAGATGAGGGATGATGAAGGCTTCAAGCAGGACAATCGTAGGAGGAACAGAGAAGATGGACATATTGGAGAAGTTTTGGGGACATGGATAAAAGTAGCCAGACTTATTGCTTTAGTATGAGATGAGGAAAGAGTATTCAAGAAAGATATCCTTGTATTTGTATCATGACCTAGACAGATGGTGTCAGGCCAGGCACGGCTGCTCACATCTGTAATCCCAGCACTTTGGGAGGCCGAGGCAGGAGGATCACTGGAGCCCAAGAGTTCAAAACCAATCTAGGAAACATGGCAAAACCCAGTCTCTACAAAAAAAAAATACAAAAATTAGCCAGGTGTGGTGGCATGCACCTATAGTCCCAGCTACTCAGGAGGCTGAAGTGAATCACTTGAGACCAGGAGGCGGAGGTTGCCGTGAACCAAGATTGCTCCACTCTGGCCTGGGTGACACAGCAAGACCCTGCCTCAAAAAAAAAAAAAAAAAAGAAAAGAAAAGAAAAGAAAGATGGTATCATTAATGAAAGAAAAATATAGAAGAAGGAGCAGAGAAAATGGTGAAGAAAACAATGATTTTAATTTTGGAAATGCTGTTTAAAAAACTTGGGAGACATCAAATGGCAATGCATACTCAACTGCTTATATAATCCCCAGCTTGGGAAAGAAGCTGGGGTAGGGAGTTACAAATATGTAGATGTTAGTTGAATAAAAGGAGAGTTGGAATCCTGTGGGAAACAATTATAAAAGTTCCCAAGAACAGATGGGAGAAAGTGACGGAAGCATCCAATGCAGATAGGCCAGCATAAACAATATTACTTAGGTTTTGCCATTAGAAGTCATTGATGACCTCCATGGAAACAGCCTCAGTGGAGTGGGAAAGGGTGGGGCAGAGTGAAAACAAATGTAAAGTGCTACCACTCTTAATCCTCTAAATAAGGCAGTATTATGATCCCTACTTAATAATGAAGCTGTGATATTATAAAATATATTTAGCCTTTGTCCAGGTTTCCTGGCATGTAACTCCTTAAATCCTTGGACTCTCTGAAGTGGTAAGAGTGCTTTTTACATGCTAATGAGATGACTGGTGCCTGGCCATCCCTAGGTAGTTTCAGGATGGGGGCTGGCCACCAGAAAGACCAAATCATGATTAGAGGGTTGAGACTTTCAGCCTCACCCCCCAACCTGTAAGAGAGGGGAGAGGGACTGAAGGTTAAGTTGCTCACCAATAGCGAATGGTTTAATCAATTGTGTCTACATACTGAAGCCTCCATAAAAACCCAAAAAGACAGTTCAGATGAGCTTCCACATAGCCAAGGCTCCTTCTCTGGTGGTGCACCCAGAGAAGGCGTGAAAGCTCTATTCTTCTTCCTTCCCCCACACATTGCCCTATCCATCTCTTCATCTGGTGCTCATCTGTATCCCTTGTAATATCCTTTATAATAAACCAGTAAAGATAAATGTGCACATCCCTCAGTTCTGTGAGCTGCTCTAGCAAATTAATCGAACCTGAGGAGGGGGTTGTGGAAACCCTGATTTATAGCTCTTTGATCAGAAGCACAGGTAAAACAACCTGGGGCTTGCAGTCAGCATCAGTGGTGGGAGCAGTCTTGTGGAGTGAGCCCTCAACCAGTGGGATCTGATGCTATCTCCAAGTAGATAGTGTCACAGTGAATTGATTTAGAGGACACCCAGCTAGTGTGCCCTGCAGAATTGATTGCTTGCTTAGTGTGTGGAGAAAAACCTACACATCATGATTGTTGAGTGAGAGTCTAAGTAAAACTGAGTTTGACCTGTTTCCCGATAACCTCAGAGCAGCTCAGAGTGGTGACTTACAATATCAAACAGTGGCAGAGAACCCAGACTCTGGAAGGCAGCCATCTGGACTGGGTTCCTTGGAATTAGACTCTGAGATGGATATTTGTATGCAGCTTTCCTTGGGAGCATTTTCAAAACCAATACCTGTAAGAAAATGAGAGAAGCAGGGTTGGGCAGAGGTGATGAAGGAGCTACACAGGACGAATTTGATCTTGCAGAGAACCCTTGAGTTGGAAAGGGACTTCAAGTTGCCTCAAATATAGGCAAAGGGTTTTGACCAGGCCATTAGTCCACACATTGACCAGATATTGGTTATGGGCTAACCCCAATAAAGGATCTAACTTTGGGCAAGGCAGCTCCCTTTGGTCAAGAACAATGTCCAGAGAGGGACACACCTGACAGCCACCAGGAGCCAGCTCTCCCAGAGGCTGAAGGAGTGAGCACTTCAGTTCTGAACAGGAAATCTGGGTGGCGCATGAGGCATCCATGACACTGTCTGGTACCAAGGTCAGTTCAGCTACTTACTCGCTATGAGATCTTGGTTAGTTTCTTAATCCTTCTGTGCCTCAATTTCCTCAACCTTAAAGTGGGAATAATAATGCACTTACCTCAAACAATTGTTATGAGAATTGGATGAGTTAAAACTGCTAGAAACACACCTGACACAGAGTCAAAACTTCATAAGAATAGAAGGTCGAAACCTCACGACAACCCAAGTCTTCTGATTTCCAGTCCTGTGCCATTTCTTCAAGTCATTCATTTCATCAAGGCTCCTCCATTCTCATTCTGTTTCCAGTGTATGTAGTACATGAGCATTGTGTGCTGCAATGTGCTACCCATAACTATGTTGCACCTTTACAAAAGTATGTATTAATTTCGTATGACCAAAACAAGGGTATTTAACAAAACAACCTGGAAATTTCAGTGGTTTGCAGCCATCTATTACTCACTCACTTACTGACTTGTAGGTTTGGCTAATCTGGGCTAGGCTTGGCTGGGCCTGACTCCTAACTCCATGGCTGGGCCCAGGCCTTTCCACGTCTCTTGTCTTTCTTAGATTAGCAGTACTCACAGCATATTCTGTTCATAGTGAAAGACAAGAGCTCAAGAGACCACACCTAAATATGCAAGCACATTCTAAGCTTCTGCTCACATCTGTGGTCATCCCATTGGCTAAGGCAATCCAGGTGGCTAAGCCCAAAGTCAAGCACGTGCACCAAGGAGAGAAGGTACCCATAGAGGTTGAGGCAAGGGAAGGACTGGAAATTTGCTGAAAAATAATCTTCCATACAGCCTGATGAACAAAGATTTTGTAATAGAAAAGAAGATACTCATGACCAGAATCTTAAGAAGAAAAAAAGCTGCAGGTGAAAGCCTTTACTAAATACTTATTACTAGTATGTCTAGGCAGATCCTTCTAGCCTCTGTCTGACTCAGTCTCCTCATTTGCAAAACAGTTATAATGCTCCCCTTCTATTTAATTCATAGAAATGGGATATCATCATTCTCATCCACGCATCATACTTTTTTGTGGAATACTGCAGCAAGTCTTTGTAATAAGTTGGCATTCTCTGCCATCTAGCATGCTTATAATTCTTTATTGAGCATTCCAGCATGGGACTGATCCCCCAGAACTGTCATAAAAAGGCATGAGAATTGCAGAATTACTTCAGTAGATAGGAGTGGCTAGAATCTAATGTGCTATAGATTTTTTAAGCATTGGGTCTTCATCTCATAGACTTCTATCTACCCTGACAGCACTTGAGTATATATAAGCCCTCCATAAAATCTAGTTGAATTTTCTGTTTTCAAGGTCAGTTAAATAGAGGATGGTACCAACACTGCTGAGACACCAATCAGACAATGCGCTCTGCTAAAAGCCTAATGCAAGCCTCTTTGCCTGTGGTAGTTACTAAATACCCAGCTCAGCACTTTTGCTCCTTAATTCCAAAACCTTCTATTTGGGTACTACCTAGCAGCATCAAATTGTTTAAAATAAAATAAAAGAATGATGGCTCAGCAAACTGTAGCTTTTGGTCCAAAAATTTATATTTCTAATTCATTTAGTTACAGCAAGACAGATGCCAAACTTTTATGGCTTTTTAGTCTAATCAAATTTGTGTACACAAAGATGAAATCCTCCTCTCTCTACTTGCCAGGAATGAGGCATAATCTTTATTCTAATAAAAGCTTTATTGCTACAAGTATCACCTAGTTCTTTAAAGACCCTCTGAAATCATTTTGATCTCAGGAACACTTTTTCATACCTCTTCCAGATTGATCTTATAAAAGTACCATAGGCAGATAAATGAGGGTGGAGCCAAGATGGCCAAATAGGAACAGCTCCGATCTACAGCTCCCAGCGTGAGCGACGCAGAAGATGGGTGATTTCTGCATTTCCATCTGAGGTACCAGGTTCATCTCACTAGGGAGTGCCAGACAGTGGGTGCAGGACAGTGGGTGCAGCGCACCGTGCGTGAGCCGAAGCAGGATGAGGCATTGCCTCACTCGGGAAGTTCAAGGGGTCAGGGAGTTCCCTTTCCTAGTCAAAGAAAGGGGTGACAGACTGCACCTGGAAAATCGGGTCACTCCCACCCTAATACTGCGCTTTTCCAACGGGCTTAAAAAACGGCACACTAGGAGATTATATCCCGCACATGGCACAGAGGGTCCTACGCCCACGGAGTCTCCCTAATTGCTAGCATAGCAGTCTGAGATCAAACTGCAAAGCGGCAGCCAGGCTGGGGGAGGGGCGCCCGCCATTGCCCAGGCTTGCTTAGGTAAACAAAGCAGCCGGGAAGCTCGAACTGGGTGGAGCCCACCATAGCTCAAGGAGGCCTGCCTGCCTCTGTAGGCTCCACCTCTGGGGGCAGCGCACAGACAAACAAAAAGACAGCAGTAACCTCTGCAGACTTAAATGTCCCTGTCTGACAGCTTTGAAGAGAGCAGTGGTTCTCCCAGCATGCAGCTGGAGATCTGAGAACGGGCAGACTGCCTCCTCAAGTGGGTCCCTGACCCCTGACCCCTAAGCAGCCTAACTGGGAGGCACCCCCCAGTAGGGGCAGACTGACACTTCACACGGCCGGGTACTCCTCTGAGACAAAACTTCCAGAGGAACGATCAGACAGCAGCATTTGCGGTTCACGAAAAACCACTGTTCTGCAAACACCGCTGCTGATACCCAGGCAAACAGGGTCTGGAGTGGACCTCTAGCAAACTCCAACAGACCTGCAGCTAAGGGTCCTGTCTCTTAGAAGGAAAACTAACAAACAGAAAGGACATCCACACCAAAAACCCATCTGTATGTCACCATCATCAAAGACCAAAAGTAGATAAAACCACAAAGATGGGGAAAAAACAGAGCAGAAAAACAGGAAACCCTAGAAAGCAGAGCACCTCTCTTCCTCCAAAGGAACACAGCTCCTCACCAGTAACAGAACAAAGCTGGACGGAGAATGACTTTGACGAGTTGAGAGAAGAAGGCTTCAGACGATCAAACTACTCTGAGCTACAGGAGGAAATTCAAACCAATGGCAAAGAAGTTAAAAACTTTGAAAAAAAATTAGACGAATGGATAACTAGAATAACCAATGCAGAGAAGTCCTTAAAGGAGCTGATGGAGCTGAAAGCCAAGGTTCGAGAACTATGTGACGAATGCACAAGCCTCAGGAGCTGATGCGATCAACTGGAAGAAAGGGTATCAGTGATGGAAGACAAAATGAATGAAATGAAAGGAGAAGGGAAGTTTAGAGAAAAGAGAATAAAAAGAAATGAGCAAAGCCTCCAAGAAATATGGGACTATGTGAAAAGACCAAATCTACGTCTCATTGGTGTACCTGAAAGTGATGGGGAGAATGGAACCAAGTTGGAAAACACTCTGCAGGATATTATGCAGGAGAACTTCCCCAATCTAGCAAGGCAGGCCAACATTCAGATTCAGGAAATACAGAGAACGCCACAAAGATACTCCTCGAGAAGAGCAACTCCCAGACACATAATTGTCAGATTCACCAAAGTTGAAATGAAGGAAAAAATGTTAAGGGCAGCCAGAGAGAAAGGTCGGGTTACCCACAAAGGGAAGCCCATCAGACTAACAGCAGATCTCTCGGCAGAAACTCTATAAGCCAGAAGAGAGTGGGGGCCAATATTCAACATTCTTAAAGAAAAGAATTTTCAACCCAGAATTTCATATCCAGCCAAACTAAGCTTCATAAGTGAAGGAGAAATAAAATACTTTACAGACAAGCAAATGCTGAGAGATTTTGTCACCACCAGGCCTGCCCTAAAAGAGCTCCTGAAGGAAGCACTAAACATGGAAAGGAACAACTGGTACCAGCCACTGCAAAAACATGCCAAAATGTAAAGACCATCAAGGCTAGGAAGAAACTGCATCAACTAACGAGCAAAATGACCAGCTATCATCATAATGACAGGACCAAATTCACACATAATAATGTTAACCTTAAATGTAAATGGGCTAAATGCTCCAATTAAAAGACACAGACTGGCAAATTGGATAAAGACTCAAGACCCATCAGTGTGCTGTATTCAGGAAACCCATCTCACATGCGGAGACACACATAGGCTCAAAATAAAGGGATGCAGGAAGATCTACCAAGCAAATGGAAAACAAAAAAAGGCAGGGGTTGCAATCCTAGTCTCTGATAAAACAGACTTTAAACCAACAAAGATCAAAAGAGACAAAGAAGGCCATTACATAATGGTAAAGGGATCAATTCAACAAGAAGAACTAACTATCCTAAATATATATGCACCCAATAAAGGAGCATCCAGATTCATAAAGCAAGTCCTTAGTGACCTACAAAGAGACTTTGACTTCCACACAATAATAATTGAAGACTTTAACACTCCACTGTCATCATTAGACAGATCAACAAGACAGAAAGTTAACAAGGATACCCAGGAATTGAACTCAGCTCTGCACCAAGCAGACCTAATAGACATCTACAGAACTCTCCACCCCAAATCAACAGAATATACATTTTTTTCAGCACCACATCACACCTATTCCAAAACTGACCACATAGTTGGAAGTAAAGCACTCCTCAGCAAATGTAAAAGAACAGAAATTATAACAAACTGTCTCTCAGACCACAGTGCAATCAAACTAGAACTCAGGATTAAGAAACCCACTCAAAACCGCTCCACTACATGGAAACTGAACAACCTGCTCCTGAGTGACTACTGGGTACCTAATGAAATGAAGGCAGAAATAAAGATGTTCTTTGAAACCAATGAGAACAAAGATACAACATACCAGAATCTCTGGGATCCATTCAAAGCAGTGTGTAAAGGGAAATTTATAGCACTAAATGCCCACAAGAGAAAGCAGGAAAGATCCAAAATTGACACCCTAACATCACAATTAAAAGAACTAGAAAAGCAAGAGCAAACACATTCAAAAGCTAGCAGAAGGCAAGAAATAACAAAAATCAGAGCAGAACTAAAGGACATAGAGACACAAAAAAACCCTTCAAAAATTCATGAATCCAGGAGCTGGTTTTTTGAAAAGATCAACAAAATTGATAGACCGCTAGCAAGACTAATACAGAAGAAAAGAGAGAAGAATCAAATAGACGCAATAAAAAATGATAAAGGGGATATCACCACCGATCCCACAGAAATACAAACTACCACCAGAGAATACTACAAACACCTCTACGCAAATAAACTAGAAAATCTAGAAGAAATGGATAAATTCCTCGACACATACACCCTCCCAAGACTAAACCAGGAAGAAGTCAAATCTCTGAATAGACCAATAACAGGCTCTGAAATTGAGGCAATAATCAATAGCTTACCAACCAAAAAAAGTCCAGGACCAGATGGATTCACAGCCGAATTCTACCAGAGGTACAAGGAGGAGCTGGTACCATTCCTTCTGAAACTATTCCAATCAATAGAAAAAGAGGGAATCCTCCCTAATTCATTTTATGAGGCCAGCATCATCATGATACCAAAGCCTGGCAGAGACAAAACCAAAAAAGAGAATTTTAGACCAATATCCTTGATGAACATTGATGCAAAAATCCTCAATAAAATATTGGCAAACCGAATCCAGCAGCACATCAAAAAGCTTATCCACCATGCTCAAGTGGGCTTCATCCCTGGGATGCAAGGCTGGTTCAACATATGCAAATCAATAAATGTAATCCAGCATATAAACAGAACCAAAGACAAAAACCACATGATTATCTCAATAGATGCAGAAAAGGCCTTCGACAAAATTCAACAGCCCTTCATGCTAAAAACTGTCAATAAACTAGGTATCAATAGATGTATCTCAAAATAATAAGAGCTATCTATGACAAACCCACAGCCAATATCATACTGAATGGGCAAAAACTGGAAGCATTCCCTTTGAAAACAGGCACAAGACAGGGATGCCCTCTCTCACCACTCCTATTCAACATAGTGTTGGAAGTTCTGGCCAGGGCAATTAGGCAGGAGAAGGAAATGAAGGGTATTCAATTAGGAAAAGAGGAAGTCAAGTTGTCCCTGTTTGCAGATGACATGATTGTATATCTAGAAAACCCCATTGTCTCAGTCCAAAATCTCCTTAAGCTGATAGGCAACTTCAACAAAGTCTCAGGATACAAAATCAATGTACAAAAATCACAAGCATTCTTATACACCAATAACAGACAAACAGAGGGCCAAATCATGAGTGAACTCCCATTCACAATTGCTTCAAAGAGAATAAAATACCTAGGAATCCAACTTACAAGGGATGTGAAGGACCTCTTCAAGGAGAACTGCAAACCAGTGCTCAATGAAATAAAAAAGGATACAAACAAATGGAAGAACATTCCATGCTCATGGGTAGGAAGAATCAATATCGTGAAAATGGACATATTGCCCAAGGTAATTTATAGATTCAATGCCATCCCCATCAAGCTACCAATGACTTTCTTCACAGAATTGGAAAAAACTACTTTAAAGTTCATATGGAACCAAAAAAAGAGCCCGCATCACCAAGTCAATCCTAAGCCAAAAGAACAAAGCTGGAGGCATCACGCTACCTGACTTCAAACTATACTACAAGGCTACAGTAACCAAAACAGCATGGTACTGGTACCAAAACAGAGATACAGATCAATGGAACAGAACAGAGCCCTCAGAAATAATGCCGCATATCTACAACCATCTGATCTTTGACAAACCTGACAAAAACAAGCAATGAGGAAAGGATTCCCTATTTAATAAATGGTGCTGGGAAAACTGGCTAGCCATATGTAGAAAGCTGAAACTGGATCCCTTCCTTACACCTTATACAAAAATTAATTCAAGATGGATTAAAGACTTACATGTTAGACCTAAAACCATAAAAACCCTAGAAGAAAACCTAGGCAATACCATTCAGGAGATAGGCATGGGCAAGGACTTCATGTCTAAAACACCAAAAGCAATGGCAACAAAAGCCAAAATTGACAAATGGATTCTAATTCAACTAAAGAGCTTCTGCACAGCAAAAGAAACTACCATCAGAGTGAAGAGGCAACCCACAAAATGGGAGAAAATTTTCGCAGCCTACTCATCTGACAAAGGGCTAATATCCAGAATCTACAATGAACTCAAACAAATTTACAAGAAACAAACAAACAACCCCATCAAAAAGTGGGCAAAGGAGATGAACAAACACTTCTCAAAAGAAGACATTTATGCAGACAAAAAACACATGAAAAAATGCTCATCATCACTGGCCATCAGAGAAATGCAAATCAAAACCACAATGAGATACCATCTCACACCAATTAGAATGGCAATCATTAAAAAGTCAGGAAACAACAGGTGCTGGAGAGGATGTAGAGAAATAGGAACACTTTTACACTGTTGGTGGGACTGTAAACTAGTTCAACCATTGTGGAAGTCAGTGTGGCGATTCCTCAGGGATCTAGAACTAGAAATACCATTTGACCCAGCCATCCCATTACTGGGTATATACCCAAAGGATTATAAATCATGCTGCTATAAAGACACATGCACACATATGTTTACTGTGGCACTATTCACAATAGCAAAGACTTGGAACCAAGCCAAATGTCCATCAATGATAGACTGGATTAAGAAAATGTGGCACATATACACCATGGAATACTATGCAGCCATAAAAAATGATAAGTTCACGTCCTTTGTAGGGACATGGATGAAACTGGAAACCATCATTCTCAGCAAACTATCGCAAGGACAAAAAACCAAACACCGCATGTTCTCACTCATAGATGGGAATTGAACAATGAGAACACATGGACACAGGAAGGGGAACATCACACTCCGGGGACTGTTGTGGGGTGGGGGGAGGGGGAGGGATAGCATTAGGAGATATACCTAATGCTAAATGATGAGTTAATGGGTGCAGCACACCAACATGGCACGTGTATACATATGTAACAAACCTGCACATTGTGCACATGTACCTGAAAACTTAAAGTATGATAATAATAAAATTTAAAAATAATAATAATAAAATAAATGCAGATAAATACAAAAAAAAAGTACCACAGGACTTCTAGAAAAAAAAAAAAAAAAGAAAATCTTAGTGGTTTGGTGACTATTTGCTAAGGCTGCTAGAATTAAGTACCACAAACTGAGGACTTAAATCACAGAAATGTATTATCTCACAGTTCTGGGGGCTGAAAGTCCAAGGTCAAAGTGTCAGCAGGGCTGTTCCCTCTGAGCGCTGTGAGAGAGAATCTGTTCCATGCTTCTCTCCTTCTCTAGTACTCTCCTGGCACTTTTGGCATTCCTCAGCTTGTAAATTATCACCCCAACTCTGCTTTTATGTTTACATGGCATTCTCCCTGTGTGTGTATCTGTCCTCAGATATACCCTTTACATAAGGACACCAGTCCTATTGGATTAGAACCCACCCCCAATAACCCCATTTTAACTTGATCATCTCTGTGAAGACCCTATTTCCAAACAAGGTCACATTCTAAGGTAGGGTTTACCTTACCTTACCTTAGGGCTTATTGGGGGTTAGGGCTTCAACATATTAATTGGGGGGCAGGGGGAATACAATTCAACCCATAACACATTGACCTTGTGTTACGCAAAGATTTCTCCCAAACTATAAAAAGCACAAACTACAAAAGAAGAAAATTGTTAAACTGGTCATCATCAAAATTAAACACTACTACTATTTGAAAAACACTCTTAAGAAAATGAAAAGTTTTCCAGTCAGAAATGACAACCACAGATGGAATTAATCATACAGATAAATGACTGTATCAGGATTTCATTTGCTTGTTAGTCCACAGAGTTGCCCAGAATCCTACATTTATTCATAAGAGAAAATATTGATTAATTATTGGTCATTCCTCATAAGTGTAGCTGTTGATGTGTGCATCTGATTATTACTTTTTTAATTTTACGAAAATTGTGTAAAATTACATTTTTTTCCAGGGGAGAAAAAAACATCAAACAAAAAGAGAAACATCTAAATCATCCTTTCTGTTCTTTTTCAGTTTTTAACCTCTTTTAGGTTTTCCCCTTGCAGAAACTACAGAAATATTCCCTTAGAATAAAATTGTATATTTGTAAAAAAAAAAAAAATGAAAAGACAAATCAGTTAGACTAGGTAAAAATATTTCCAAACACAAAAAAAGAGCTTGTATCTTGAATATATATTTAAAACTCTTACCCAATAATAACGACTCAATAATAAAAATACAACTCATATTAAGACAAACAACCTAGTGAAAAATGAGCAAAAGATCTGGACACCTCATCAGAGACGATATACAAATGGCCAGCAAGCATGTGAAAAGATGCTCAAAATCATTACTCATCAGGAAAATGCAAACTGAAACTGCAAGGTACCTCTACATACCAATACAATACAAAATCAAAATGATCGACAACACCAAGTGTTGGCAAGGATACGGAGCAACTAGACCCTCATACAGTCACGTTGGAAAACAGTATGGAAGTTTCTAGTAAAAGTAATAATGCATCTACCATACAACACACCAATCCAAATCCTAGGTGTTTACACAAAAGAAACAAATACCTATGTTTACACAGAGGCCTCTACATGAACGTTCATAGCAGCTATATTGAGTAGTCAAAAATAGGAAACAACCCAAATACCCAACTGGAGAACAGATAACCAAATAATGCTATATATGTACAATGGAATATTCCTCAGCAATAAAAAGAATGAATTACTAACACATGTATGCAAAAATATACATATTCCACATTCCATCTATATAGCATTCTAGAAAAGACAGTGCTATAAGCATAGAAAACAGACTAGTGGTTGGCAGGCAGTGGTGGTAATGGATGGGAATGACTGAAAAGGAGTATACAGGAACTCTTGGGGGTGATGGACATTTCTGTATCTTGAGAGTAATGATGGTTAGATGACGATACATTTGCCAGAACTCATTGAACTATACGCTTAAAAAGGAGAATTCATTTTAAGTAAATTATTCTGCAATATTTTTAAAGTGCTACAGTATCCTTCACTCTCTGCAGCATCTACAAGGGTTTCTGGAGTAGCCCAGCCTCACGTGCTAAGCACTGTGAAAATTCCCCAGCACGAAGTCTTTAAGGGCAGGGCTGTAGTT